>NC_000006.12:18393333-18544848 GCF_000001405.40 Homo sapiens | reverse complement strand
ACTGGTCTTGATACCTGAGCGATGAAACAATCTGTACAACAAACCCCCATGAGACGTGCTTAACTATGTAACAAAGCCTTACATGTACCCCCAAACCTAAAATAAAAGATTTTTTTTTTGAGACAGTGTCTCACTCTGTCACCCAGGCTGAAGTGCAGTGGTACAGTGGCGCAATCTCAGCTCACAGCAACCTCCACCTCCCGGGTTCGAGCAATTCCCCTGCCGCAGCCTCCTGCATAGCTGGGATTACAGGTGCCTGCCACCACGCATGGCTAATTTTTTTTATTTTTAGTAGATACTGGATTTCACCATATTAGCCAGGATGGTCTCGATCTCCTGACCTCATGATCTGCCCGCCTCAGCCTCCCAAAGTGCTGGGATTACCAGCGTGAGCCACTGCACCCGGCCAAAATAAAAGATTTTTAAAAAGATGTGTCTCAATGTGGGTCTCTTTGAATTCACCCTATTTGAAGTTTGTTGAGCTTCTTGGATGTTTATGTTCATAGCTTTCATCAAGTTTGGGAAGTTTTTGGCCATTATTTCTTCAAGTGTTCTCTCTTCCCCTTTCTCTCTCTCTTCTCCTTCTGAGACTTTCATGTGTATGCTGGTCCACTTAAGGGTGTCTCACAGTTCCTGTGCTCTGCTCACTTTTCTTTAATCTTTCCTTTTCTGAGACACAATCATTTCTTGTCCTCTCTTCAATTTTGCTGATTCTTTCTTCTTCCTGTTCAAATCTGCCTTTGAATCCCTCTAGTGAATTTTTTATTTCAGTTATTGTTTTTTTCAGCTCCAGAATTTCTTGTTGGTTTCTTTCTATATTCTCTCTCTCTCATTTATATTTTCATTTTGTTCAGACATTGTTTTTCTTGTTGTTGCTGTTGTTGTCATTTTACTTTCTCCATGTCTTTGTTTAGTTCTTTGAGCATCTTTAAGATAGTTATTTTAAAATTTTTGTCTAGTAGATCCACCACTAGGTCTAGTTCAGGGACAGCTTCCATTGGTTTATTTTTTTTTCCTTGAATGAAAAGTATGTTCCTATTCCTTTACATGCCTTGTGATTTTTTTTGTTGAAAACTGGACATTTGGATCTAATAATGTGGTACCTCTGTAAATCAGATTATCCCTCTTCCCCAGGATTTGCTGGCTGTTGTTATTTTTGGTTTTGTCTGTATTGTTATAGGCTGTCTGTGTGCCAAGGATCAGCCTGAGGTGTAAATTTAAAGTTTTCTCAGGTCTCAGGTCGTTTCTGAGCCTGTACCTTCCCCTGGGTATGCATGGTCACTTTCTAGACTTCTCCTGTATATACAGTTACTTTTAAATGTTTTATTCTTTAATGTCTGGCTCCAAAAGGGGAAAAGAAAAAAAAATGAAAAGGGAAGAAAGGGCTCTGAAGTCATTTCAGCTAGCGAGGGAGAGACTTGCAACAATGCGGGAAGGTGTAACAACAATGGCTGTCGTCTCTTAGTCTGTACCTGTATAATCAGAAGCTGCAATCAGAAATCAGAGCACGAATTCCTGATTTTTGGAGGACAGAGTCCTCTTTGCCAACCCTGGCTCCTACAAGCTGTGTACAAGCCCCTTCAGGAACTAGTGCATGGCTGCCTGCCATGGGGCTGGGTGTGCGGAATGGGTAGCTGCTACTGTGCTAAGAGATAAAATTGGCTGAAATTAACCACAATTTACTACCCATGCCTTCTCTTGGAAGTTGCCAGCCTTTAAGAGACTCCAGAGTTCCAAAATAGTTACATCAGACAGATTCTGCCAGGGCGGTTGTTGTGTAGATGAGGACAGATTCCTGGTCCTTCCTACACCACCGTCTTCCCAGAATTCTGTCTGTGAAATTAACTTTTATGTTAATGTTAATAAGTTTTCCTACTATTAAGACTATTTGAAAATCCTTTGCTTTGAAAGCATAGGCTTTGTTCTTATGGGACCTGAAATATTTTTTACAAAATTCCTCTAATTCAAACCATAAGGATGAAGAAGACAACAAACAAAACATTTCAAGAAAACTTCAGTATTAGATTTAAGCTCATAAACAATTTATATTACAATAATTGTTAAGCACAATAAATGCAAAGCACTTTATAAAGAGAAGATCAAAATTCTTCTCTAGTCATTAGGAAATGTAATTCACATCAGGAAGAAAATAGATATATAACGAAGGGATATTGGGTTATTAAAGGGTCACCTGGTCCTAGGTACTCAGAAGACTAGTCAAATAAATAACATAAAGACCATTCTTATCAGGGTAGAGAGTGATAAGCAAAATCAAGAAGGCACAAAAGTAACATGAAGAAGTTCATGGATATTAATGCCCTTTTCCACACTATTCAAAATATTCAGAGTATTAGGAAAATAGCAGTAGCCAAGTCAGACCAAAAGATTCAGGAGCAAATGTCAGTGAGGGTACTTTAATTACTGCTCCATTTTATTGGTCCAGTTTTACCCATGAGACTGTCAGTTCTATTTTGGAAAATTTGGCTACAATGTTTCGGGTATTAAAGTGCCATATTGAACAGTTACACAGCTTCTCCCAATCTGTTTTCTTCAACTCCACTACAACTGATTGAAAGGACTTAGTGCTCTTATGCACCTCCCTAGCCTGGCGTAGTGGAGATAGCAACATAGATGTTGCTATGTAACAAAGAACATGCCAGTTTATCTTCCCCTAGCTCTAGGCACAGCTGGAAGGAAAGAAAAGGAAACCCATTTTAAAGCATTTTAAAGCTACTCTCTATTCCAGACTATGAGGCTGCTCTGTTTAGGATCTAAAATATGCTTACTTTAACCCATCTTTGTTGACACAGCCACAAACTTCAGCAAATACTGAAACCAGACTCAACTAGATTTCTTATAAACTTTCATATGTGAGCAAAATCCCCCCTTGATTTTGCCTAGTGTTCATCTGCTATAATTTTTACCAAGTTCTAAAAAGGAAATCTTCCAGCATTTCCTATTCTATATTTTTCAGCTTAAAAAAATAAAATGCCAGTTGGACAGCACTTATCCATTTGAAGTTATAGTAAATTTTGCCTCTTCATTCTCTCAAAAGGTTTTTTCTGATAATCATCACTGTGTTTATATTTTATAAGCAGTCCTTCTAACCCATATAACTCTCTCTGATGCTCAAAGTAGTAAGGATAATTGGACCTGCATTTACAGAAGAAAAACACAACAAACAAAAATCAGAAGCCAAAGCTTTGTGTTGGGGGTCTGGAGGGGGTGGGGGCATCTCTTTTTTCAAAGAGCCCTAAATGTGTTCACACTTGGCTGACTTACACTGGGAAAAATGTGCTGTCCTCGTACAAAGCCAAGGGCTCATGTCCTCTGGCCTTTGTCCTCAAACCTTCTCTATGACCAGTGTCATAAACCCCATTCATTTCATAATGAGCCACTTCTTCTGAACCACTTCTTCCTTATGCTGTAACTGGCCAGGTAACCTTGGACCTATCTCTGATAACTTCTCTAAGCTTCAGAACCCTTGCCAATAAAATCTGGGTAATCCCTTCTTTGCTTGAAAGCTTGGAGGCAGACCTTTCCCATTTTAGATCCAAGCTTCCTAGCCATGTGTTCAAGACCCTACACAGTCTGGTTCCAATGCCAACATCCTGGACAGCCCTCTCCTCCCTCCTCCTCCTGCCCCGTGTAATGCAGCCCTGACTCCTGATCCATAAACATTCCCTCCTGTACGTATGCATCTCTGTGCCCCAGTTCCAGCCTCTCTTTCTAGATTAACATCCTTCCACCAGAAGTTCAGACCCAGTTCCCAGGGCACCTACTCCATTAAGCCTTTCCTGATTTTCTCCAGCTACAATTTTTCCCTTCTATTCACTCCTTCTTACGAAACATTCACACTCTTTGTGGTATTAGGAATGATTTATATACAGCTGTATTCTTCTCTACCAGATGTAGGCAAAAACCTCAGTTTACTCATATTTCTATCTCTCTCTCCTCTCCACCCCAAGGTCCAGATAGAGTCTCAATTTTTAATAGATGTTCATTAAATATTTCTTAGGTTAACAAAAAGCATATAAATTTACTTCACTATGCTGGTCTCTCTTTATATAAAAATGACTAGAGGCCAGTGTGGTGGCTCATGCCCATAATCCCAATACTTTGGGAGTCCGAGGCAGGAAGACCACTTGAGGCCAGAAATTCAAATTTAGCTGGCCATGAAGGCACATGCCCACAGTCCCAGCTACTCGGGAGGCTGAGGCAGGAGGATTGCTTGAGCCCAGGAGGGTAAGGCTGCAGTGAGCTACATTTGCACCCCTGCACTCCAGCCTGAGTGACAGAGCAAGACTCTGTCTCTAAAAAAAAATAAAATAAAATAAATTAGTATAGGAAAGAGTGATCATATTGGCTAACTAGCTTGAGATCACCTAAAAAAAAGGATAGCAAATATTTATTACAAAATTAATGATGCTATAGATCAGCATAAGCCATGGGTACAGGAACATCAACACCTCGTAACCAGGCCCCTGATTCTGGTTACTAAAACTTTGGGGGAAGGTAATGTATATGTCCTGCCACTGGTCACCCACCTTCATCCTCTGATGACACAGTTTTTGGTCCATCTCCCAGGCCAGGCTTACTCAGAATGGTGCAAGATTATCTCCATCTGCAACAACTGAGACAACCTCAGCCTCTTTTGCTACCTGGAACTTCAAACTCTCTCTGACATGATAAGAAAGCACACTCACTACCGCAAGTATTGGGGGGAAAGGAAAGGAAACTTAAATATGTGATGAAATATTAACCTTGAAATCAGATGAGGTAATTAATACATTTTAATGTGCCTCTTTTATAAGATGACATATTCTTACCCAGTAAATAACATGGCTGCCAGGAATATATTTTTGTTCTTAGAAACCAAATACATTTTTTTTTAAGTTCCGGGATACAAGGGTGGGATGTGAAGGTTTGTTACATAGGTAAATGTGTACCATGGTGGTTTGCTGCACCTATCAACCCATCACCTAGGTATTAAGCCCAGCATGCATTAGCTATTTTTCCTGATGCTCTCCCTTCCCGCCATTACCCTCTGGATAGGCCCCAGTGTGTGTTGTTCCCCTCCCTGTATCCATGTGTTCTCATTGTTCAGCTCCTACTTATAAGTGAGAACATGCAGTGAGAGACCAAACACCTTTGATCATAAAAAGTCACACATGACTTTGAGTTTTACAAATCAGTATCCTTCCACATATGGAATAAAATATCCAAAAAAAGGACTGGGGTCAGGAGACCTGTATTTGCAGCCTCAAGCTCACAATACATATTATCATTTCAATTCTAGTTCTTGCTGCACAAGGCATAGCCCACAAGGCCCTCTCTATTCTAGTCCCATCTATCCCCAAGTTTTTGGTCATCTGACACATCGAGAAGCTCACCAGTCTTTGGACATATCAGACATCTTCTGAGCTTCATGCCTTAGCTCAGGTCGGACACTCTCTCCTTCCTCCTCTCTGCTTTCCTTCAACAGCTTCTGCCCTGAGTTCATTTCTGAGTGAATTATTTGCTCCTACATCTGTGCTTACATATGGCTTAATTTAGTACTTGAATATCATGTTTGGTTAGTTGAGTACCTATGTTATGTGGTTCTCACCCCCCCAAAGGATGATGATTTGCCTACTTTTTTTTTTCCAGAAATTAGCATAGTGTCTGACTCATAATTGTGTCCATTCAAACCTGTTCTTTGCTTCCATGGCATAGAATCATCACCTTAAAGTGTCTGTTCAGCATAAGACTAAGAATTTCCCAAACCCTCTATCATCTACATAGGGCCATCTAGGCAGCTCTCCCATGGAATAAGAACAGAAGTGATGCTTCCCTCTTTCAGGCCAAGTTGGTTAAGAATGGCTCCTTTTCCACACTCGGTTTCCCTTTGCACCAATGGGAAGTAGAGGATTCCAGGTCCTGGAAAGGCCACAAGGCAGAAGGAGTCGAAGACCTTGAGTTACTGCATGGACAAAAGCCTCCTTCAGCAGGAGACACCCTCATTAGACAGTTATATGAGCAAGGAATAAACTTCTACTGTGTTATCACCGAAATCTGGGGCTTTATTTGTTACAGAAGCTTTATCCTAACTATACAGATTAATTCTCAAAACTGTATATTTTATTTAATTAAATAATCCTGTGTAACCAACAATGGTTGTCCTTGTCCCTCTGAAGTCTAAATCACAAAGTACCAATAAAGGAGAAGAAAGAGAGTAGGAGGAGGAAAAAAAAAAAGGAAGGAAGGAGAGAGGCAAGGCAAAGAAAGGGAGGGAGGGAAGGGAGGGAGGAAGGGAAGGAGGGAGGGAAAGAAGATCTAAGCAATGAACAATTGTAGTCAAACTATCACCTCATATGTAAGTTGCCTATATCCTCACCATCAGTTGAGCACATTATAACCAAGTTATTCATTAATTGTGCTGCTATAGCACTTTGGGAGGCCGAGATGGGTGAATCATTTGAGGTCAGGAGTTACAGACCAGCCTGGCCAACATGGCGAAACCCCATGTCTACGAAAAAAAATACAAAAAATTAGCTGAGCATGGTGGCACACACCTATAGTCCCAGCTACTTGGGAGGCTGAGGCACAAGAATCACTTGAACCCAGGAGGCAGATGTTGCCATGAGCCAAAGTTAAGCCACTGCACTCCAGCCTGGGCAACAAAGCAAGACACTGTCTTAAAAAAAAAAAAAAAAATTGCTACCGTATCCACAGTGCCTAAAACATTCCCTGAGACATAGTAGACATCCCGAAAATATATGCTGACTTTAGTAAATAAAATTATGAATGAATACCATACCTTTTCTTTCTTACAAAATGACCTGAAGAAATCAAATCTCCCTAAACTAAGAGATCATGGTATTTAGTTAAGTATAAAATAATCTGTTGACTCTGACAGTGGAAAGAAACAACATATATGACTATTACAACATGCATCTGAATGCCTATGATGTGGCAGATGCCCTATGGGATCCATGTTCTCTGGCAGCTTTCTTCTAAAATAATAGCTTTTTGCTTGTTGTTAAAGAGCTGATATTTAATGGCTGGCTCTGCACCAGATAAAAGGCAGCATTTTCTCCCTTCTTATCCTAATCTCCAAAACAACTTACTTAGAAGAATTTTTAGAAAAACCTTCAGAAGATAATTTTTGAGTAGGGAGAGCAGGGAAAAAGGAGAAATTTCTAAAACAGAATGAAATAATCCAACCTTAGTATCAAGTAAAAGAAGAAGAGCCCACGTATGGCACTGAGAACAATTTACTTTACATCCTATGGTGCAATGGTCCAATTATTGCAGTATATATATAATGCTAAATTTCGCCCAGTCCTGCTAATCAGACAGCGGCTCACTGTGTCTGTTTATCTCTAAGCCATTACCCAGTTGTACAGTAAATCTGCATTTCCAGAGATGGTCTAAAATAGAAACCCATGCTGGCTAAATTTGTTTTGGGACATATCAGGCAACAGCTAGAAATTTTTAAATGACCAACTTGTATTCCACTGAGGCACTGAATGAATTGATTAGGGAAAAGCTAAAAATTGAATAGTATTTTTTGGAGTAGGCTAAGGTTAGTGTTGCCAATGAAAATATGTAACTACCAAGAGAACGGCTATCAATCATAGCTGATTTTCAAATAGAAATTTGGGGAAAAATGAGATTAAATGCGAAAGGGGAATGTCTTGTTTTCCCCTCTATATGCCCCTTTCCAACTAGGTCAATCATATAATTAAGTCATCAGAAATACACTCAAACTCCCACCACTAAAATTATGACAGGCGATAACAAAGTTTTCCACCAGCCAGAGGTTATTTTTCAGTTCAACAACCTTTGGTCAGAAGATCAGATCAGCACATGGACTCTGCAAAGGGCTAACGTTCAGTGGACCAATATCATGTGATTGATTGGTTTATAATACGGAGTGTGTGGTGCTGCCTTTGAGAAGAGTGCTCTCTGGAGAGACAAGCCCAGCTATTGTTTGGCTGCTCTCATGTTAGCGAGTGCCCTGCGGTAACCCTCGTGCTCTGAAATACTCATATTGGTTATTTCAAAGTTGGGTGCAGAATTGTGCTTTCCCGTGTCTGTCACTAATGACTTGCAGCTGTTGCTAATCTGTGCCTCTGATTTCCTTTGATTACTATGTGTATTGATGCCTGTGGTAAATAGGCATCTGCCAGGTGCCAGCACAATCAGGGAAAAAATATAAAAAGTTCCCTGTTTCAAATTCAATGTGACATTGTGCAAGTTGAGAGGCAGCCATTTAACTATTCAGAGGAAACAGCTTCCTGGGGCACCTCCGGCCTCCTGGCCAGGGACATTCCCCCATTCTCCCCCCGCTGCACCCCCTCCCCAGATGAGGCTGACTTTCTTTAGGATTGTTTTCAGCCACGAGAAGAGGGTTTCCACACCACATGACATCAGCAGAGGGAAGAATATCTCAGAGGGGTGGCTATGACCCGAGTTTCTAGAGAGAAAGTGTCTCACCTCTTGACTGATTTAAGCTTTGAAAGACCTCACCTGCCCCAGCAAGTTCCCAAAAGCTTCTCCACCAGAGCTGTCTTGATTTCTTGGTTTCAGGGGTTTGGGGCTTTTTTTTCTTTTTTAACCTCTGAGGAACACATCTTACTCAGGAAGGGTCCTGGGCATATCACCTTCTCTTTCAGGAGAAGCAGAGGATAATCTAGGAGAAAACAGAGCCAGAAGGAGGCTTTCTTAGAAAAGATGCAAAAGTAGCTTTCCTGGAGCATCATGTTTTGTTGTTCTTAGAAGAGCTATAGACAGAAGGAGAGTTTCTCTACCTCTCACTCCAAAGCAGCAGCCTCAGAATGCAGCGAGGAAGGAGTGAGCCTCCAGTGTCCCCGGGATGGGTTGGTTTTCCCCGGTGGCTTCTTTGGCCTTCCTTGACTGCAGCAGTGAGACTGTATTCCTGGACAGCAGCAGATGCTGGCTCTTCCCATGCCGTGGGGGAGTTACTTTGCTTGTCACTGGCATCTCCTTCTTCTGTCTGTATGTCATGAAGACAGTGACACGTTAGCCACACTTTGACAGGTTCACTGTTGTTTCCAGTTTCGAATAGAAAAATCTTCCATCATTTTGAGGCCCATCCACCATTTTATCATTGCTAGGAAACGGAGCAAGAGGCAGATCTACTCTGAAGTTAGTTTGTCAGGCTGCAAAGTTAGGCACCCCAAGGTAAGGACCAAAGAATAAAGGCTAAGTGAGACCCAGAATATTGGGGAAAAGTATATGAGATCTCAAGGTAGCTTCACATTTACTAGATCATTTGAACCTTACAAAAATCTGAAAGGAAAATGAGAATCTGGTGGAGTTTTTAAATCCCCAGTTGAGCAATTTTAAAACTCAGACTATGGCTAGGACATGGATTTACAAGCAGAGCTCAAGAATGTTTGGTCATTTTTCACCAAACTGGAAGAAAGTGTTCACTATGGACATTTAATGCCTAGGGCTTCAAATATCAATCAGCAAGACAAGTGTGTGTGCCCCCAACAAGAGATAAAAGCAGTTGGAACATGGATGAAAGAGGACCTCATGTCTAGGTCAGAAGAAATAATTATAAGACTTTCGTAAATGCTCCTTAGCCCCATGATTAAGGGAAACAGATACATCGTAGTGGTCATCTGGACATTGATTGTAGGATTCAGAAAAAAGATCTCTGAGTCAAGTACAGCAATGGCAAGGGGATATAGGATAATAAATTAGCAAAATTGTGAGACAATATTCCTGGAAAGAGATATAGTATCATTTCTGGGTACTCAGACAACAAACAGTTCAAAAATATTTCACCACACTACATTTTATTTTAAGACAATGGTAAAGTAAATTCCAGATCCAAACTGGAAGCAAGTCAACATCAAAGAAGACGTTGGCACAAGTTGAGTGTCCCTAATTTGAAAATCCAAACTCCAGGCCAGGCATGGTGGCTCACACCTGTAATCCTAGCACTTTGAAAGGCCGAAGTGGGTAGATCACTTGAGGTCAGGAGTTCAAGACCAGCCTGGCCAGCATGGTGAAGCCTGTCTCTACCAAAAATACAAAAATTAGCTAAGTGTGGTGGTGCACACCTGTAATCCCAGCTATTCAGGAGGCTGAGACAGGAGAATGGCTTGAACCCGAGAGGCAGAGGTCGCAATGAGCTGAGATCGTACCACTGCACCCCAGCCTAGGTGACAGAGCAAGACTCCATCTCAGAAAAAAAAAGAAAAAGAAAAAGAAAGTCCAAAATGCTCCAAAACCTGAAGCTTTTTGAGCACCAACATTGATGCCACAGGGGCTAATTCCACACCTCACCTCATGTGATAGGTGGCAGTCAAAATGCAGTCAAAACTTTGTTTCATGCACAAAATTATTTAACATGTTGTACAAAATTACTGTCAGGCTATGTGTATAAGTGTACAGGAAACATTTTGTATTTAGACGTGGATTCCATCCGCAAGCTATCACATTGTACATATGCAAGTATTCAGACTCTGAAAAAAACAGAAGTCTGAAATACTTCTGGTCCCAAGCATTTTGGATAAGGGATACTCAACCTGTAGATTTAAAAAGAAGAAGATGCTACCAGACGCAGAAAATGCTCCCAAAAAGACTGGTTAAAGGTAAAGAGATCAAAGAGATTAGAATTTGCTGCTGCCCTCTTAATCAAAGATTTACACAGTATGCAAAAGCATTTTTCTTCTCTTTGACAGCCAGAAAAGAGATAGAAGGAGATGAGGTTTAGAGTAGAAAATCTAGGTGTAGAGCAGATAATTCAGAAAACCAGTAGGAAATGGCTAAAGACATGCATTACTGCGTTAATACCAATCCACATACCCACCTTCCTACAACCCCACCCCCCAAAGGAATGCAGGGAATGACATCAGGAACAACACACTTGCAGTGAGCCGAGATTATGCCACTGCACTCCAAATTGGGCGACAGAGCGAGACTACGTTTCAAAAAAAAAAAGAAAAAAAGAAAAGAAATCCACTGACTGTGCACCCAGGGTTGTTACCATGAGATTCATTTTCATCATGGGTGAAGGCAGGTACACATCTAAGGCTCAGTGCTACCTGTTTCAGGTCATTGCAATGGCAATTCCTGTTTTCCAAACAAACACAGTTTTGTACCTAACTTCCCAAAATGTGATGTAAGGAAAGTTATCATGATGAGCTTTTCTGCAAATTAAAATAAAATAAAATAGGCTGGTTGCAGTGGTTCACACCTGTAATTCCAGCACTTTGGGAAGCCAAGGTGAGAGGATCACTTGAGGCCAGGAGTTTGAGACCAGTCTGGGCAACATAGCAAGACCTCACCTCTCAAAAAGAAAAAAAAAAAGCCATGTACAATAAAATAATTAGAACCAAAAAAAAAAAGAACTTTAAAAAGTGGTAAATATTATATGCCCCCTTCTAAAGATTCCTACAACGTATTAGCACATATGGACTCTGAGGAGTCTTCAATAAGATTTAACATAGTTTAATCTAGAATTTTCTAAAAGTATTTGATATAATAGAAAACCCCCTTATACATACAGCACCTATTAATACACCAGAAACAGTGTTTTGTGGCCAGGCTATTTTAATATAGTTATTCACTTTTCTGCATATAAAGATAACATTTTATTATTTACAAATTGGCAAGTGCAGGGTGTACTCCTATGACAGACTTTCATCTATATAATTTGGTCCATAAACTGGTCATAATATTTAATTAATAAACTTTGGCAATAGTCAAGATGAGACAAAAATTACTATTCAGTTGAAATCTCATGGTATGATGAGATAATTTGGGGTTTTAAGTCTTAATTGCTTATCGTATGTTTTGTGAAATATTTCACTTGTATTACTGACAGTGGGCAATGACATGATTTTTAGCACAAAAATGTGATCTCAGGAAAACTGTACATCTGTTTTATAGTAACATTCATCCTCTATGTCCCTACCCTAAAACCTCTATACAGCAGCTATTCAAGTGAATTTATTAAAGACCTTCCGTGTATAAGGCATGAGGTCCCTGCTTCTTGTTTTGGAGTCTGTTAAATTCAGTAGAAGAGAGAAGACAACTACACTAATAATTAAAGGCATAATGCTGAAAACACTGTAAGAGAATAAAAGAAGGCTGACCTTCAGTGGGCAACTGGCAATATCAGGCAAGGCTTCATGTAGTAGATGTGATTTGAGTAGAGCCCTAGAGAACGAGTGGATCATCAATAAGCAGAGATTAGGAAAGGAAGAGAAAAAGTATTACAAGACTAGGGAGAAACACCAGGAAATGAAAGTGACAAGTTGCATTAGGATCATTCAGGGTCTTGAATACAAGGCAGGACATTTGACATGTGAAAATAAATTCAATAAACAATCCAGGGGCAATGAAAACTTTTGAGAAAAGTAGCACTCCTCCAAGAACTATACCCTGGGAGCAGTGTGTAGCATGGAGAAGGGGACAGTCTAGAGCAGTGATTCTCAAAATGTGGTCCCCAGGACAGCAGCAGCACCGAGGAACATGCCAGAAATGCGCATCCTTGGGCCTCACCCCAGATGTCCTGAATCAGAAACTCTGGAAGTGTGGTCCAGAAATCTGTGTTTTAACAAGTCCTTCAGGGAATGTGGATGCATGCTCCAGTTTGAGAATCACTGGTCTAAAGACAAAAAAAAATCAATTATATAATAATTTTAGTCATCCAGATGACTGGTAATGAAGAATTAATTAATCCAGGTAGAATAATCATAGTAAGAAGGTAAAAGATAGAACAGACTGGGGGGAAAGCAGCTGATTTTACCAAAAGATCAGTGATCTGAGGGATGGAGATCATTACATCTCCTCAAATTCTGTCCCCTAATTTTCCAGACAGATGACCACCTTTCCATTTTTTCTCCAGTTTGCAAGAGATATTATGGAAGCACAACTGAACAACTTCTGAGAACAGGACAACCAGACACAGAGAATGAAGGATAGAGAGCACTTTAAATGACTCCAAGTTTTAAGCCTCAGAGGTAGGCAGCTTAAAGATGCCTTTAACAAAGAGATGAATTTTAAACAACAGAAAAAGACAGGTGGAAAAAAGGCACCAATCCATGTGGTTAGTTTTTACTATCCAGTGGGAAATAAAAAGATTTACAGAAGCTTCCAAAAATGTATACTATACAGTAAGGTAAAATAACAAGATAAAAAATTTTTAAAAGAAAGAAAACAATGAAGCCAGAGAAAAACAGGGATAGAAAAGTAAGTGGAAGCCACAAGTGGGCCAGAGAGGCCATGATTTTGGCTCAAAGAGTCTTTGTATTAATAGTCACAACTCTGGAAGAGCCACAGGGTCCGTGAGAACTGAGCAAGTCAGTGACTTAGGAAAAGCTCATTTCTTCTCTGTACTGAAAACAGGGAGAAAATTCCACCTTGGACCATCAAAGAGGTGATTTATAATGTAGCAAATGATATTCTCAATACTGACCTTTGAGATAAAGAACTTGGTTTGAGGATGTCACATGGAACTGTATATGCCTTTAGAAAAATCCAATGAATATTTCATGCAAAAAGTTGAGAATGTGAACCTGAAGCTCAGAAAGTCAGGAATAAAACTACAAATGAATTTGGAATTTTCCCACATGAAAGAGATGCCCAGTGTGCAGATAAGAACACAGTAAGAAAAACAGAATTGAAAAGGTCCCATTGCTATGATGGTTTAATGCCTATGATACACAGCCTAAATAAAGATATAATATTGCCACCAAAACTATATATTAATAGGTTTCAAACATGAATTAGCATTTAACTAAAAACATGAGAATGCTTCCCTCTTGGAAAAAAAGAAAGCTAAATTCATCAAATTTTAAATTTATAAAACAGATGGATGATTAGCATTCAAAATGATTCAACATTGGATGTCAACGTTGATTTTTTTTTTGACCGGCAATTGCCCTTAGGAAAGTCAGTTTATGAAATTTCACTTCTCACTAGTTTTTCAGCACACATCCATTGTATTAGATGTGGAAAACATAGTTTAAAAACTGTCATCCCAAAAATTGTTTGAAAAGTTTCTATGATAGATAGGTTAACAAACTCTGTTGGATAGATGAGCTATTCTGCTATGTCATGAAAAGGTAGAACTTTCTGATAAGGCTATTTCAAAAAAAGTAAATATATCCCAAAGATTGATGTATGAGTGAGGATTGCTTTGGCTGCAATCATCAGAAACTGATTCTAACTTTTAAAATTATATATATGCATATATATATTTAAAAATTATTGGCTCACAGATCAAAGGAAATATTGAAAAGTCAGGCATTGGTGTTACCAGGATGAATCAGTCACTGCTAATTCTCCATTCCATACCACTAGAATCAGGATTTCTAGTCCTGAGGCAAAGAGCATTGCTTCGTATGCCCAACTCTTGGCTAGACAAGGACAGGGCCCCTTTGATCAACAGCTCCTCTTGGGCTGCACATAGCCTTTTTTAAAAGGATGTCAAAGTCATGCTATGACAAAAGATAATAGGCAGGAAGGAAACAGCAATGAATGTCTACAACACACAGCAAGCATGCATTTCTGATAGGAAAGCAAAAACAACCATGGATGTTGACATATAAAATGAATCCAATCATCATCCCAGAAATGCAAGTATTTTCATGTTCATATGCCTTGAATATCTTAAGAACCCAGAAATTTATTCTAGGTTACTATCAATTCAGAAAGACTCTTCATCAGATAGGGAGGATTTTTTTTCTATCGATAGGAACATAACAGGACCACTCTGTCTTGTTCTTATATTTCATAAAAATAAAACTAAAAGGAACAAGAGGTATGTTTGACCTTATATTTGAAATAAGCCAACATTATATTAAAATATTAATGCAACCTTAGACAATGTTAATAGAAAATTAAGTCCAAATGACAGGAAATACAGTCTCAGTGACTTCTCTCCTACTCAAACAGAGCACTGTTTTGAATTCTGAGTTTTATAATTTAGAAAGAATGGGCTCATGCCTTTAATCTCAGCACTTTGGGAGGCTGAGGTAGGTGGATCGCTTGAGCTCAAGAGTTCGAAACCAGCCTGGGCAACACAGCAAAACCCCATCTCTACAAAAAATACAAAAATTAGCTGGCCGTGGTGGCATGCCTGTAGTCCCAGCTACTTGGGAGGCTGAGGCAGGAGAATCACTTGAACTCTGGAGGCAGAGATTGCAGTGAGCCAAGATTGTGGCACTGCACTCCAGCCTGGTAACAGAGCGAGACTCTGTCTCAAACAACAACAACAAAAAATTAGTCAGGCATGGTGGAGTGCACCTGTGGTCCCAGCTACTCGAGAGGCTCAGGTGGGAGAATCACCTTAGTCTGGGAGGTCAAGGCTGCAGTAAGCCAAGATCACACCACTGCGCTCCATCTTGGGTGACAGAGTGAGACCCTGTCTCAAAAAAAAAGAAAGAAAGAAAGGATGCAGCAAATTAAGAGCACACTCAGAGGACATGACAGGACAGCAAAGAAACCATTGGAATAACAATGAGGGGAAACAGGAACATTTAACATATAGAAAAGAGGATTTGGGACTTAAATGACAACGGTCTTGAGTGCACTGTGCTGTACGGCAAAGAAAAATTGAATGTGTTCTCCAAAGATCTAGAATCCGGTTCCTACTCTATTCCTATTTACTGTGTGATCTCAAGCAGGTTGCTTCCCTTCTCTGGGTCTTATGTCTTCACCTTTATAAAAGGAGGTGTTGTTTTGTGAGCAATGGCAGGGGGTTTTCATCAGACTTAGGTTCAAATCCCACCTACATGGCTTACCAGTTACGTGGTTTTGATCTGAGCCTTTGTAAAATACAGATAAATAAAGATGAAAATTCCCTCAGAGCTTATTGTGAGAATTAAATAAAATAATGTAAATAAGATGCCTGGTGCAATGCTGATACATAGTTGATACTCAATAAATTATAATTTACAATTACTAATTACCAATAAATGGTAAATACAGTTATTCAGTAATACGACTCTATAAAAGATGTGAAATGCCATTACAAGAAGGCGATACAGTTTTCTGCCATGTTGCAAGACCAGCGATAAAAGTTATAGGAAAGCAGGTTTTTCACTAATTGAAGAAATAACTTTCTAATAAGTAGAACTAACAAGAAAAAAAAGCTGCCTTGCGAAGTAGCAAAGTTCCCAACACTAGGAATGTTCAACAGGGTCATGAAGAATATCTGTTGGGGACACTACAGAACAGCTTCCTATATTTTGAATGAGAAATAGATAAGATCCCTTCCTAATTCAAATGTCTATGACTTTCAGCTGAATGCAGTACCAAGTGCATTCATAGTTTATAATATTAATGTACCACTGCCCTCTAGTGTATAACCTAAGAAGATAAAATCACTGATTAAAAAAAAGGAAAAAAATGTTTGCACAAGCATCATGCAAAATTATTTTTATTGACAAAAAGTTATCTCACCAATCATTGAGTAGAACCTTCTTATTTTCAGGTGAGAAAACTAGAGGACAGAAAGTGATACAATTAGCCCAAAGTCACAGGGCTACACAGCACAGAGCTGGGATAAGAATCTCACTCTCTAACTCTCAGGTCAGGGTTCTTCCTGACATGTCACATTCCTGAGGCTGCAGCATAGATCCAGTTATCCTTGGATAGCATCACTTGTCTGAGCCAAAACTCTTTGGTTCTAACCACGTAACTGGACAAGTTTCTCTCAGCACGATGAGTCCAGCACATCCTCAATCACAAGTTCAAACCCTTACAACCATGTTGCTGAAAAAAAAACAATGGTTAATGAGGCCATGTTGACAAGCATAGTTCATTATCAGCAAGCTAATGACCACTCAGGCCGCAGCAGGGATGCCAGCCTACAATTAGGTCTGCAGTGATGTACAAACAGAAAGGGACTCTAGTTATAATTAAACCTGATCCTTTAGTCCAATTGCTCATTAGGAAAGAAAATAAAACAATCCACAGATCCCACACAAGAAGGCCTAAAACTAATGCTTTGGTCCGGGGATGAAATGTTAGGCCATTGAGCTATTAGCCCATGTCTGTCTGCTGCTGAATGAGCACTTAAGCTTATATTCTTATTCAAAATACTTTGTAATGAAGGAGGATTGGTTTTCATCTTACTGATTTTGAAAGCCGTGGCACAAAGGATGCTGGATAATTTTTCATTTTCTTCATTTTGCCTATCACGATTGTTCAATCGTTTTTCCTGTGGACCTGTATTACTTGTGCAATTAAATATATTTAAAAAGTACTAAATCTTGCCAAAATCTCTTCAAGTAATGAAAACTAGGCATTAAACATAAGAATACACATAAGCACGAGCCTTTCATAATTAGAAGAAGGAACTACCTCTATAGAAAGGCAACATGATGTTATAAAAATAAAAAAGTCAGCACAGTATATGGGTTCTGAAACCAGAGGACTGGAATTCATGCGACAGCTTTGCTAGTGAACCCTTGGACGGGTATCTAAAATTTTAAAGGAAGGTGTCTGTGATTAAATGAAAGGTCTAGGTAAAGATCCTAGGAGATGTGAAAAAAAAAAAGTGATTCATAAATTACAGGTTCCTTCCTCTTCCCCATATTCCCCTGCATTGCTTTTCTGTCCTCATAATTCCTAAAATATGTCTAAATCTAGAAAGAGATGTCTTACTAAGAAAGACCAATTGAAAGCTTTGAATTGATGAGGAAAGAAGATGTAAGTAGGCCTAAGGAGGGAAAGTAGTAAGAAGAGAGGGAGAAGAGGAGGCAGTATTAACAAGAAAGAAGAGAGAATGGGCTTCATTTGGAGACAAATTCTCTGGAGCCTTGAGAAGAGGTGGGGAGGACATTGGAAGAGTGAAGCTAATGAGATTAGAAAAGGTTTGTTTTCTCCCTTTCTTCCCATTTAGTCCCTTCCTTACCTTTTTGTCTCTTTCAGATTCTTAAATGATGAAGCCCTTTCTTATTCCTGTCCATTTATCCTTCATCTGCAACTTCTTTCTCGTTACTCAGTGCCCTAGCCGTGTGCTTTTGAATCAATCTCGCCAGCACCCTCTGGAAGTGTGTGTCATCAATTATCTTTTCATTACATAACGTTTCTCACACATACCTTCAATCTGCTCTTCTCTACTGGTCTCTTATCTGTCTATCTAAAAGCATTCTTAGGTTTTCTCTGTACTTAAGATTCAATCCCAGGAGCCCTTATATTGCCATGTGCTCCCTGGGTAACAGAAAGGGAAAGCACTGTGAAGAATACATCATTCTTTAAAAAACCAGTTCCTGCGCTCAAGGGGCTTACCAATTAGTTGTGGAGAAAAGACTATGTCATTAGAAACAATGGTGATCAATAAAAGGAGTATATAATTAAGTCCTAAATTGGCTCGTCAGACTCTGAGTCTCTACAGCTTGGGGGATGCACGCCAAGGAGTTCCCCAAGGTGCTATGGTAAGGGATGATTTGGAGGAAGCACCAGGCCAGAATATTGCACAAAGCAATTACTCAATAAATATTTGTGATTTGGTTTGAGACAAAATGTTAGCTAAGCCTTGAAAATCATTATAAGATCGCCACTTCTCCCACCTACTTGACAATTCTCCTTCTTCATTGGTTTTAAGGTGCATATTGTTTCACATCTTAACAATTCTGGAACAAGGATGTATTTTTCAATCAAGGAGACTCAGCATGTGTTACAGACTAATTGCCAGTGCTTTTTCTTTCTTAGTGGTATATAAAATAATGGTACAACTTACAACCGATGGCTTCTTAGATTCCATAAAACACAGTTTTTTTGTGTATCCAGTATATTTCAGGTTGCTATTTTAGGCCCTAGGGATATGTGAATAAGAAATGTAAAGTTTTTCTTTTGTGAAGCTTGCATTGTGATAGAGGAAGACAGATAATAAACAAATTAACAAATATATGATACACTGATGCCAGGTATGGTGACACAGACTGAATAGGAACTAGATTTAGGCCTAGATCCCAATCTACTGTGCAGGAAAATAAAAAATAATGAGAAGTGAAGTTTTTAAAAATCAGATTTCACGTACGAGAAATAGCAATTTGGAAGGAATTTACACATATTTTGGGTATTTCATCTCCTCTGCTAGACAGTGAGCTCCTTGAAAACTTTTTATAAAGGGCAATTTACTTAATTTTACTACAAAAGCTGAAAAATATAGTATGGATTGGACCCTTGATCTCAAGGGTCAGGAAACTTTTTCTGTATAGAGCCAGAGAGTCAATAATTTCAGCTTTGCACATCATATGCTCAATGACACAACTACTCACCTCTGCCATTGTAACACAAAAGCAACATGGATAAATACATAGATAAGCATGGCTGTTTTCCAACAAAATTTGGTTTATAAACACAAGTCGCAGGCTGAATTGGCTCCACATTGCAGTTTCCCAACCCCTGAACTAGGTAGCTATTCCTAAAGGCTCCTAGAACTCTGGAATTCTTTGAGATCTAAGCCTGGAGACCTATTTACCACAGCATATACAAATGATCCTCGACTACAATGGTTTGGCTTACAATTATTTTTCATTTTTAATGGTGCAAAAGCAATACACATTCAATAAATACCATACTTTGAGTACTCATACAGCCATTCTGTTTTTCACTTTCAGTATGTTATTTAATAAATTACACGAGATGTTCAACACTTTATTGTAAAATGGGCTTTGTGTTAGATGATTTGGCCCAGCTGCAGGCTAACATAAGTGTTCTGAGTATGTTGAAAGTCAGCTAGGCTAAGCTATGACATTTGATAAACCTATAGGTGTATTAAATGCATTTTTCCTTATAATAGTTTCAATTTGCAATGGGTTTATTGAGATGTAACCCCTCGAAGGCAAGGAGCATCTGTACAACATCCACAAGATTCCCCAGATTGTTAGTAAGGCCACAGAAACAAACCAAGAAAAGGGGAGCAGCAATGTTTCTGGGGTATCATATGTGGAGATGAACCCATTTACAAAGGTTTGCTCAAAAACCAAAAATTTCAACTCATCCCAACATACATGGCCTTCCAGATAGATTCAGGGAATCCTGCACTAAAAAGAACAGGTCTTTTTACAGCCACAGATAGGAGGTCAGCAGGTGATTAGTGAGGTCTGCATGCTCAGACCTGGCTTGTTGCACTGCGGTCAATTACACAGCTGGTTACAAGTGTGTGTTTGCACCTGTTCAAGCCTTCAAATGTGCTAATCCTATATTAATTAAGCAACTTCTTAGAAGCAGGTTAAAAACAAATTAGACCCTGCCATCCCATGCCTGTTCCAGCCTTCCCTTGGTAGCCCTTCATCTATAAGGGATCATCTACAGAGGGTAAGGAGCAATGTTTCTTCGTAATTCGGGAGGGGCTCATTATGCCCCATCAATTAGTGCTGCCACCACTTAGTGAAAACAGTTGTTGGTACATAGCCCATATTAGTGACTAATTAATAAGGGTTGATTAGCTAAGCCCCCTCACAAGGTATAACAGGCAACAGCCACCTTCCACAAGGACTACGGATTAAAACAGAGATATCAACAATGTAAAATGAAAGAAATTTTGCTGGTGACCCTCATCTTTTTTTTTTTTGCTTGGAGACGGAGTCTCACTCTTTTTCACCCAGGCCGGAGTGCAGTGGCGCTGTCTGCAAACTCCGCCTGCCGGTTCACGCCATTCTCCTGCCTCAGCCTCCCGAGTAGCTTGGACTATAGGCGCCCGGCTAATTTTTTGTATTTTTAGTAGAAATGGGGTTTCACCGTGTTAGCCAGGATGGTCTCGATCTCCTGACCTCGTGATCCGCCTGCCTCGGCCTCCCAAAGTGCTGGGATTACAGGCTTGAGCCACCGCGCCCGGCTACCCTCATCTTTCTGAATGGGTTAAGAGACAGCACAGTCCATAGCTAACCAGTACACCTTATGATTTCAATACATTGAAATGATTTCAGTTGCCAAGGATGTCTGGCTTGTTATTCTTTGAATCATTGATAAAGGGAGGAAAGTAGTACCATAGCAGATTAATGTGGGAGCTTATCTCAGGGAGGTAGAAAAATCGACCCTGTACATGTAGGATGCACACCATACTGCAAAACATAGGACATGAATGTGTATCTATTTAGATATCCCTGTTGATATTTTCAAATGTTATTTTTATTAGGAGCATGGAATAGTGGGTAAAAACAAGAGACTCAGATTAGTGATTTGACTAATTATGGATCAAGCAAAATGTTCATGTTTCTGTATATCAGTTATTGTGTTATATCATAATTACCTGTTGTGTATCTCCCTCATTCACACACACACACACGCACACATAGACACAAATTTTGATCACGGGTTCTTTGAAGTTAGGGGTCAAATCTCATTTATCTTCATATTCCATAGAAGAGAGCATTTTAGAAACTTCTTAGCCATTTGATGAATAGATTAAGGAATGAATGCTTTAACTTCTGATTACTGGCTAATATTTGTATCTTTAGTAGAGATGGGGTTTCATCATATTGGTCAGGCTGGTCTTGAACTCCTGAACTTGTGATCCACCCACCTCAGCCTCCCAAAGGGCTGGGATTACAGATTACAGGCGTGAGCCACCACACTCGGCAGCTGATTCCATCTTTTTTTTTTTTTTTTTTTTTTTTAGACGGAGTTTCACTCTTGTTGCTCAGGCTGGAATGCAATGGCACAATCTAGGCTCACTGCAACCTCTGCCTCCCAGGTGCAAGCAATTCTCCTGCCTCAGCCTCCTGAGTAGCTGGGATTACAGGCATCCGCCCGCACGCCCGGCTAATTTCGTATTTTTAGTAGAGACGGGCTTTCTCCATGTTGGTCAGGCTGGTCTTGAACTCCCGACCTCAGGTGATTCGCCCGCTTCGGCCTCCCAAAGTGCTGGGATTACAGGCTGAGCCACTGCGCCCCGCCTGATTCCATCTTTTACTCATGGCATCATTCCTTGCTACTCTTAACAGGTGTATTACTCCATTTTCATGCTGCTGATAAAGACATACCCAACTCTGGATAATTTATACAGGAAAAAGGTTTAATGGACTTACAGTTCGACGTGGCTGGGAGGCCTCAGAATCATGGCAG
Organism: Homo sapiens; assembly: GCF_000001405.40. Classification (NCBI taxonomy): domain Eukaryota; kingdom Metazoa; phylum Chordata; class Mammalia; order Primates; family Hominidae; genus Homo; species Homo sapiens. The sequence continues at coordinate 18,522,798 of NC_000006.12, read as the reverse complement.
AAGGCGAAGAGGAGCAAGTCACATTCTACGTGGATGGCGGCAGGCAAAGAAACGGTTTGTGTAGGGAAACTCCCGTGTTTAAAACCGTCAGATCTCGTGAGACTTATCCACTAGCACGAGAACAGCACGGGAAAGACCCACCCCCCGTGTTTTAATTACCTCCCACCAGGTTCCTCCCACGACACGTGGGAATTGTTGGAATTAAAATTCAAAATGAGATTTGGGTGGGGACACAGCCAAACCATATCAACAGGTTTCCTTGGGATAAGTCTGATGCGTTTAGCATATCAAAGCTATCACTGTTCTCCAGTTTACCAAAATACCTCTTTCCAAACACGATGGAGAAAGAAGAAAAATGAGTGAAAAAGAGAAAAAAACCTCTAACCTACTCCCTAAGAATGTTCATCGTGGCACCATTTAAAATAGAGACTGCAAATAAACCTAAGGATGGTTAAATATAGTATGATACATTCTACATGTCATATGAAATCATTAAATTAATGTTTTAAAAGACTAAGAGTATTTAATGACATAGAAAGTGTTCCACTGAGATATCGTTAGAAATAAAAGGCACAATCCCTGCAGGATAATATAAAATAATATGTATCATGTGCATCTCTAAAAGGCCAGAGGTATAAGATTCAAAATATTTTAAAAGGCTCTCTCTGGTGACAGAATTGGGTGATGTTTATCTTCTCCTTTGTGTTTTTCTGGAAGATCCAAAGTTTTACAACATGTGCTACATTATAGTCAAAGGAAAAAAGTCCATATGAAAAAAAGAAAAGGTTTTGCTTTTATATATCTTTATACGACATCATAAAAACCATGCAATCTCATCAGTCAGGCTGAACTCCAGCAGCTACTAAAACCAGTTTAATTAATGATTCTCACATAAATTAAGTGAACTTACATTACCAGATAATAAAACATATTATGACACTACAATAACGTAGTACACACATAAAAATTGATGGTAGAAACAAATAGCCCAGAAATGGATCCTAATATATATCTACTCAAAAAGAACTTAGTATATGATAAAGGTGAGATGACTAATCATTCAAGAGGAGGAAGGATTATTTCATAAATAGTGTTAAAATAGAGAGTTAACTGTTTCAGTGAGAAGATAAATCACTGCCTTACAAGATACAATAATGTACATTTTGGATGGATTTAATTATTAAGTGTAAAAACTACACTCAGGAGACCCAGAAGAAATAATAAATATGTGAATTTATAATCTAGAATTTCAAATATCTTTCTAATCAATGATAAAGGAAAAAATAAACCAGAAAGAGAGGGAGACCAATTTTCCTACACTTTTGTATATCACTTACTCACATCAAAAACCACCATAAAAGGCCTGGCGCAGTGGCTCACGTCTGTAATCCCAGCAACTTGGGAGGCCAAGGCAGGCGAATCACCTGAGGTCAGCAGTGATTCCTGCTGAAACCCCGTCTCTACTAAAAATACAAAAATTAGCCGGATGTGGTGGCACACGCCTGAAACCCCAGCTACTCCAGAGGCTGAGGCACGAGAATCACTTGAACCCAGGCAGCAGAGGTTGCAGTGAGCCGAGATTGTGCCACTGCACTCCAGTCTGGGCAACAGACTGAGACTCTGTCCTCAAAAGAAAAAAAAAACTTTATGTTCCATTAGGGCAGGGGCTGTCTCTCTCTCATTTGCTGCTGAATGTTACACCTTCTGCAGTGCTTCACACATAGTGGGCAATCAATAAGTATTGATCAAATAAAAGAATGATCATTTACAAAAGAGTAAATAGAAATGACCATTAACACAGTTATGTTTTAAAAGTCCCACATGACTGGTAATCAAAGAAATGAAAGATGAAGCAGAGATAACACTTTATTCCCTCAACTTGGCATGTATGTCTTTTAAAATAATACTCACTGCTGTCAGGTATATGATGAAATGAGTACTCTCACTCACTGCTACTAGGAATCTGTTAGGTCAAAATTTGTCAAAATGTGCAAAAATCTCAAAAGTGTTTTGATCCTTCAGCAATATTTTCATTTCTGAGAATTTATTATGGAAAAATAATCTAAATAAACACAAAAATATCAATCTCCGCAATCCTGGTAATGCTGTAAATTGGAAACAACCTAATTGTTAAATACAGGGAATTGATTAAATAATTATATACATATGAAATAATGTTATAAAATATTAATATTTGTGATTTTGAATATTTAAGTATATGGAAAATTGTATGTTATAAAACAAGTTTAAGGATAAATCTATACGTATATATTGATTCCCATATTTTAGAAAATATATGGATATCTATACGTTAAAAAAAATAATATGTAGTCCAGGCGCAATGGCTCCTGCCTGTAATCCCAGCACTTTAGGAAGCTGAGGCAGTTGGATCACCTGAAGTCAGGAGTTCGTGACCAGCCTGGCCAACATGGTGAAACCCTGTCTCTGTTAAAACTACAAAAATTAGCCAGATGTGGTGGCACATGCCTGTAATCCCAGCTACTCCGGAGGCTGAGGCACGAGAATCGCTTAAACCCAGGAAGCAGAGTTTGCTAGTGAGCTGAGATCTCGTCACTGTACTCCAGCCTGAGCAACAGAGTGAGACTCTATCTCAAAAAAAAAATAAAAATAAAAATAAAGTGCATATTTTTATGTTTACTTGGATAGCGAAATATGCTTTTAAATTGATTTCCCAAAGAACTCATACTACTTGTATAATAAAACAAAAATAATAATTTTAAAAAACTTATCTTCACCATGCACAATGGCACAGCAGCTACACAGAGGCCACAGCAGGACGATCACTTAAGCCCAGGAATTTGAGACCAGCCTAAGCAACATGGAAAGACCCTGTGTCTTTAAAATTTTTAATAGTTTTTAAAGACTTCTCTTCTGTGAGGTTTGCAAGCTTTTTCATAGTTTGCAAGCTGTCATTTTAATATATTCTATTGATCACAAAAGGATTGGGGTGGGGAGAGATAGGTACTATAAACTGAAACCCCGCTGCTCTTAGGCAAACCCAACAATCCCAGCATATGTTGGGGTCAGTAGTGATACTCTCCTAGCCGGGACCTCCTGGGCTCACTCCATCCTACGCAACCAATACCCACCCTTGGTAACTCAATCACTGGCATCTAAAAAATGCTTTTTGCTTAGCTTAGAATATTTTGCCATTTAGATGAACATTTTTCATCAATTTTTCACTGAGTTTTTTTCTCCAGAAATGTGAACTGAAAAGTGAATTCATAGAAGAAAAATTGTTGAAAAAAAATTTCCTTTAGGATGTTTTTAGAGAATTTTTTAATCCTGAGAAATTTCACCTGCAGGAAAAGAAAAAAAATACTTAATTGCTTATTCAGTCCTATTTTCCTAAGTGTTCAGATCTTTTAATAACTTTAATGTATAGGACAGTTGCATAGGTAACATTTTAATATGACTCTGTGCATATGTGTACTACTTCTCAAAGAGGTTGAACAATTTTACATACCAGTAGTGTATGATATTTCTGGTTGCTCCACATCCTTAAAAACACTTGATGTGGTCAGTCTTTTTAATTTTAGCCATTCTAGTGGGTATGTAGTAATGTCTCATTGTGATTTTACTTTGCATTACCCTAATGTTTGGTGTGGTTGAACATTTTTTTCATGTGCTTATTTGCCATTTGTATATCTTCTTCGGTGAAGCCCCTCAAGTTATTTTTTCAGGACTGTGCTTTGTTAGAACGTTTGAAGCCTATGAACTTAAGAGAAATTCATATATCTGGTATTCCAATAAAATATTTGGAGATACCCTTCAAAAACGAGGTGTTCAGATCCTACTTCAAGCTTTATTTTTCATAGCTTTCCTGCCTATAATTATCATGTCATCATTATCCTATCTGTATATAGTCAAATAATATTGTCCTGAGAATTAATGTAAAGCAGATTCCTTCCTTCTGGCTACTGGATTTCCCTCTCAGATACTAGTTGGATGCCTGCCCAAGAGGAAAATATCAGGCATTGCAGACAGGTAATCCTGAGCACACAATCTCATTCTATAACTGAAATCTAAAATGCTATACACCAAGGAACATTTCATAAATCTTTCCTCTAGTTGAGAATTATAACCTCTCTTTATGACAGAGAACATGTGTATCCAGTGCTGGAGATTTTATTCTATGCAATAGGAAATAAATAAATAAAATTGAAAAGCATCCAGATTTGAAAAGAAGAAATAAAACTGGCTTTATTTGCAGATAACACGACTGACTCTGTAGAAAATTCTTTGGAAAAACAACTTTGAAAAAAGAGCCAGAGGGTTCGTACTGCCTAACTTCAAAGCTTTTACAAAGTTTCATTAACCAAGACAGTGTGGTATTCGCATAAAAATAGATCAATAAATGAATTAGAATAGAACATAGACCCACATATTTAGGATTGTTGACAAAGGTGCCAGGACAATTTAAAAGAGAAAGAATAATCTTTTCAATAAATGGTTCTGGAACAACTTGGTATCTATATGCACAAAAATGAACCTTGATTCTTACCGCTTAGTATATACAAAATTTAACTCAAAATAAAACATAAGCCTAAATACAAGAGTTAAAATTATAAAACTTCTAGAGCACAATAGGAAAAAAAATCATAGTGACCTTAGTTTGGCAAAGATTTGGATACAGGAATAAAAAGAAACCATAAATTAGACTTTATCCAAAGACACTATTTTAAAAAGGAAATGAGAAACCCTAGACTGGGAGAAAATCTTTACAAATAATGTATCTGTTAAAGGACTGATATCTGGAATACATTTTTTAAAAACTCTAACACCACCACCACAATTTTATTAAAAATGGGCAGAATATTTTAATTAACACTTCAAAAAAGATATACAAATAGCAAATAAGCACATGAAAAAAATGTTCAACTACACCACTACATAACCACTAGAATGGCTAAAATTGAAAAGACTGATTATATCAAGTGTTTTCAAGGATGTGGAGCAACCAGAAATTTCATACACTACTAGTGAAAATGTAAAATTGTTCAACCTCTTTGAGAAACAATTTCTTAAAATGTAAATATGCAGTCACCATATGACCTAACCATTCTACTCCTAGCTATTTATCCACGAGAAATGAAAGTATATGTCCACACAATATATACATGACTGTTCATAGCAGCTTTACTTGTAGTAGCCAAAAACTAGAAACAAGCCAAATGTACATCAATAGATAAATGGATAAAAAATTGTAGCATATTCTTACTCAGCAATAAAAAGGAATGAGCTCAGCCTGGCCAACATGGTGAAACCCCGTCTCTTCCAAAAACACAAAAATTAGCCAGGCGTGGTGGTGCGTGCCTGTAGTCCCACCTACTCAGGTGGCTGAGGCAGGAGAATTGCTTGAACCCGGGAGGTGGAGGCAACAGAACAAGGCCCTGTTTCAAATAAAAAAAAAGGTAATGAGCTATAAATATACAAAACAACATAGAGGAATCTCTAAAAAATTATTCTGAGAGAAAGAGGTTAGAAAAAATAAGATTCCATTCACATAAAATTCTCAAAAATGCAAACTAATCTATAGTGACAGAAATCAGTGGTTGCCTGAAGAAGCGAGAAGCAGGTGATAATTAACCCAATTTGGGTAAAGGTTTCGCAGATACATATAAATGTATTTCAAACTCATCAAATTGTTCACTTTAAATATGTGGATTTGAAACATCGTATGTTCTCACTCGGAAGCTAAGCTATGAGGATGCAAAAGCATTAGAATGATACAATGGACTTTGGGGACTCTGTGATGGGGAAGCTGGAAAGGGAGTGAGGGATAAAAGACTACAAATAGGGTACAGTGTATACTGCTTGGATGACGGGTGCACCAAAATCTCACAAATCACCACTAAAGAACTTATTCATGTAACCAAACACCACCTGCTCCCCCAAAACCTATGAAAAGAAAAAATAAATTAAAAAATAAAAAAGTCAAAATAAAAATAAACAAATATGTGGATTTTAATATTTGTCAATTATACCTCAAAGAAGCTGCAAAAAACTGATGATTAAAAGAAACTTACGGAGAAAAATGAGTAAGAAAGTGCACCTGCTCTTGAATGAGACTACGGGTAATGATTTGATTTTTTAAAACATGGTAAATGCAATAATAGCAATACACCTACAATAAAAAATCTTTTGGGCCCTAAGCAACCTTTTTGATGAATTGAGGCCTGAACTGGGCTATAGAAATTTCGTATCTATCATTAACTTAATATATTATTACGTTTTGTCACTGCCACTTGCTTCCAAATTTTCTATAATGATCATATAATTTTTTCATAATAAAAACATTATTTTAAAAATAAATGTTCAGTGAAAAAGACTAATTTAAAAGACCTTGTAAATACTATAAAAAATATAAGTATCATGCTAACAATAGTTGAATATTAAGAGGAAAATTGTGCCTGAATATTAAAATGGCTATATAGAAAGAAAGAAACCATGCTAGTCTAGAGAAAAGGGAATGAAGGAGAGCTTAGAGATTAATTTTCGTTAATAATGTTCTCAATTCAGCTTTGATTTCATCTGCCACAAATCTTTGCCTCCTCCTAATATGGCTTAATTAGCAGGAAATGGAGGGTATCCTTTCACACCAGAGAAATTCAAAGCTTCCCCTTGTAGTTTATCCCCAAAATTTCTGGGTGCAGCAGAAGTCAGTCAAGCTGCTACAGCTTTTGTTATCGATGCATTATTTTGATGGGCACTGAGGGGTGGCAAAGACAGCCTGACCTTGATGGCAGCAACAAGCAGGCTCTAACAACAAGTTGCAGTGCACTGCCACCCCACAGCTCTGGAATGCATGACAAATCTTTGTTAATCTCTTGAAACAATATCACCCTTCAGAAGCACTGCTTTTTGCTTTTTTTCTTTATTTTATTTTCACTACCCAAGTGTTGCCTAAAGACATAGCACAAGCTACAAACTTAATGACTTTGAATTAATTCATTTTTGATTGATTGAACTTTGAGAATCAATTCATCTTTGATTGGTTGAACTTTGAGAGTCCAAGAGAAGTCACAGACCCGTCAAGGGAAAGAGAGACACTTCACAGATAGGGAAATGTGTGCTTTCCACTTCCACATGCCCCTGACACACAGAATTTCAGATCCTGAACTATGAAAGGTGGCTGTGAGCCATTCACAGACCTCTGCCCCTTGGATCAGGGCATTCCTATCATTTATATTTGTGTATTCCTAGATACCATCACTATTCCAATGGATATTGGAAAGGTGAGACAATATCATTGACCACAAAGTAACTAAAAGGCCAACTGGAATTTTTAAGATGCAGAATTTTTCTATCTTTCAATGAAACACCCAATTTTTTAAAGAAAGCATGCTTACATTTGCCTTTATTTTCAAAATTTTTAATTGTACAAATTTAAGCAGTACAAGTGCAATTTTGTTACATGAATATATTTCATAGTGGTGAATTCTAGGCTTTTAGTGTATCTGTCACCCAAATAACATACAGCATACCCATTAAGTAAATTCTCATCCCCCACCCTCCCTCCCAGCCTTCCAAGTCTCCAATGATTATCATTCCACATTCTATGTCCCTGTGTAGTTAGCCTTACCTCTCAATAAATCATTTCAGCAACCTGTGTTTCCCTCACCACTTCTAAAAATTTTTTTTTTTAATTGTACATCTCGAAGTGCTAGAGTTTAGGGAATCAATATTCCCTCCTGCCTCACTTTCACTTCTCACAATTCTAACCTATCAGAACATTCACAAAGTTCACCAGCCCAAGTGGCAATTGCAATAGCAGCTTCACTAATGGCTGATGTTTAATCTTTTTGAAAAAAACATAAAATAAAAACAGGGTATAACGCCAAGTCTGTACTTGACAGCCTGCAGTCAAAATCTCCCTCATATATGCCATCAGGCACTGGTAAACAAGCAGATCCTGTTCAGTCCACTTAGCTCCCAGAGAATGGCAGTGCTAAATCCCTCTCCCTTCCTACAGATTTATAGCACAAGAGAAAGTCGAGTCAGATTCTCACTTTGGCGGCATCGTAACTAGCCATTGTGTTGTACATGGCCCAGTAGATTCATACTCAACCATCAGCAATTTATCTTCCTTTGGAGAGGATAAGTAAAAGGTGATTAGAGAAACAAGAAATGTTCACTCCAGAACTACCTAGAACTGAAGCGATTCTATGAATGACTAGGTTAGAGGCCTGATAGAATTGGGTACCTGGACACAAAAATCTTAAAAACCACAATTTACTACAGAGCTCAAAGGATACACTTTCATCACATGTTTATAGAGAACATCAAACTGGGGTGATGCGTGGGGAGGGGGAATTTGCAAGCGTCCTTGGTTTCTGATAGGAGCTATGCACAGGTCAGGGGCAATGGTATTCTGGCCATCCAAGGAGAAATCTTGCCAGATTGCCGGAAGGCCTGCCACTGTGAAGCTCTGAATAATTGCCTTATATGGCTGCAAAAACTAACACTAGTTAGCCACATCAGTTGGCTCTACCATCCAGTTCTTTTTTTTTTTTTTTTTTTTTTTTTGAGACGCAGTCTCGCTCTGTCGCCAAGCTGGAGTGTAGTGGTGCAATCTGGGCTCACTGCAACCTCCGACTCCCTGGTTCAAGCAATTCTCCTGCCTCAGCCTCCCGAGTAGCTGAGAGTACAGGCGCGTGCCACCATGCCCAGCTAAATTTTGTATTTTTAGTAGAGATAGAGTTTCACCATGTTGGCCAGGATGATCTCGATCTCCTGACCTCATGATCCGCTCGCCTCAGCCTCCCAAAGTGCTGGGATTACAGGCATGAGCCACCATGCCCAGCCTACCATCCAGTTCTTAATGCACTTACTTACAATCCCATTGGCATCATCTTGCTTTATTGTCCAGACATTCAATCATAAATTAGCCATCACATGACAGTTGCGACAAGACCCGTCCATGTGCAGGCTCAAACAGGTATCTATAAGATCTAAGAAAAATTGAGTGCAGTAGACCTACTCCCTTTTCTGTTATCCCCATATTAAAGATTAAAACAATCAAGGGAGAAGGTGGTTACATAACTGCCCAGTGTCATAGCTACTGTGTTATAGAGCCAAAAATTAAACCCAAGTGATCTGGCTCCAGAGTTCATGCTCTTAACCACTGCCCTGTGCTGTATTGCAAAACTACGTATGTATGTTTCTAAGGAAAAGTGCCCTACTCAGATCAAAACAGAGTGAGCTTTGCTCTGGTTAGAAAAAGCAAATTCGTTTCCATTCAGATTGTCACCTCAAACCACAAACTTAGAATTAGTGAAGCTAAGTTGTCTAATCTTTGTCTAATCTCCAGTCCAGAGCATAAATCCCCTCTGTAAAACCCCCAACAGATCATACATCTCCTAGTATTGCACAAATACCACAATCAATCAGAGAATCTATTGAGCATACTGTGTATATGACTCTCCTAAGAGCTTTATGTAAGGTATTGCATTTAGTCCCTATCAGGTAAGAAGCACAGAATTCTCATTTTACAGACAGAAAAATTAAAGCTGAAAGAGGAAGAGATTTGTCTAAAATCACACACTCTGTAATTAGCAGGCTCGACATTGCCTGTGGAAAAGGATCCAGACTTGGAAGTCTGAAGAAAATAGACTCAAGGTCAGAGTACAAGCCTGTGCCCAGGAGGAAAGGGGTGCACTGTGTAGATCACAGCTGTTGTCTGAGCCTCAGAGCATGGTACATGTCTCAGCAGGGCTGCTGCTGGTGTTCTCTGTGCTACCAGCTTATTCTTTCTGTGAGTTGCCCTTTCGCCTCTCTCTTATTTGTTTGTTTATTTATTTATTTATTTTGAGACGGAGTCTCCCTCTGTCACCCAGGCTGTAGTGCAATGGCGCAATCTCAGCTCACTGCAACCTCCACCCCACGAGTTCAAGCGATTCTCCTGCCTCAGTCTCCCGAGTAGCTGGGATTACAGGTGCCTGCCACCATGCCCAGCTAATTTTTATATTTTTAGTACAGACAGGGTTTCGCCATGTGGCCAGGCTGGTCTTGAATTCCTGACCTCAGGTGACTCGCCTGCCTCGGCCTCCCAAAGTGCTGGGATTACAGGCATGAGCCACTGTGCCCGGCCCTCTCTCTTACTTTAATCTCCTTGTTTTCAGCTTTCACTCATTCAGCAGATACTTAATGAGCACCCACTATGAGCCAGAGACTGATGTAGGCACTGAGGATAAAATGAACAAAATAGAAATTCTTCCTCTCTTGAATCTTGTATCTCATTGGGTGCAGAAGGAGGGGTGTGTGTGTGTGTGTGTGTGTGTGTGTGTGTGTGCGCGCGCGTAATTTAAAGAGAGAGATCTATAGATATTTATCAATAGATAGATAATAGAGATTTAAAGATAGATATAGATGGGTGATAGAGATAATACAGATTTAGAAATAGATATAGAGAAAGAAAGATTTAGAGAGAGAGAAATTGAGAGACAGAGATACAAAGAGAGAGGAAGATACTTGGTGATAAATGTTATGATAAGAAAATAAAGCAGAGTAAGACGGACTGAGAGTAATAGAGGGGGGATGGAATTTTATACCAGTTGATAAGGAAAGGCTTTGTAGTAGAGTGACCCTTAAGCAAAGGCTTAAGTCAATATTTTATGTATTTTGAGGCCCTTTTATCAGGAAGAGAATGGGGTCAATATGTCTCATCTTAACACCTCCTGAGAAATGCCTATATATCTTCATTCATTCATTCATCTTGGAGTCAATTTGCGATTTCATTATGCTAGACCCTGTGGAATGAACAAGTATGAAGAACAGCAGTTGGCTTCTTTGAGTTGAGTTTTCTGGAAAATAGACTCTAAAATGAGATTTTTATGCAAGAAAAAGTTTTACTGGGAGTGGTCCCAGAAATGATACCTGTAAGAGGTTGAAGGGCATGTTGACTGGTCTGATAGGAAGCTCTGGCATCGCGATGACCCTACAGGGACCAGGAGCACAGGCCTTTGATCTCCACATCAGGCAGTCACTGGATGGAGGCTGTCCCCAAGAATGGAGTGAACCCTGGGGTCGGCTGCTCCATTCAGATGAGGACTCAGCTCTGAACTAATAACAGCCAACAATCCCAGCAATTGCATATGGGCCTTGGTCCCAAAGGAAACATCCAGCAAACTAACTTTGTCCAATGCTTTTGAAACGGGAAGAGTTCCCTTATCCCCCACGCAGGGCATGCGACAGGGGTGTGGCTTGCATCTTCAGTGACCCCCTAGGAGGAGCATGCAGACCGGCAGGTCATAGGGAGCCTTTTTAGGCTCCGACCCCACAGCAGCATCTATGGTTGGCTGTTTACAACTCCTGAAGCCCCAGCTGGCACGTGTTACAGTGTGCTCTTTCAGCTTTTGCCATCTGCAGGCAGCTTGTGTTAATCAGCTCAATTAGACCCTCTGCTTTATCACAAGGACAGAGGGCTTTCTGTGTCCCGGATTCTTGCCCTAGTGTACCGGCAAAGTCGGATCACATGTAGGCTTGAAGAATGAGTGCAAGGTTCTATTGAGTAGTTCTCAGTGAGATGGATGGGGAGGCCAGAAGGGGGATGGAATGGTAAGGTGGTCTTCCCCTGGAGTTGGGCCACCCAGCGGCTAGACTCTCCTCCAACCACCCCCAACCAAACTCCACATCTTCCCGCCATCTACGGCCTGCTGGCACCTGCTGGTGTCTGAGCCTTCTGCTCCTCTGCTCCTCTCAATGTCCAGCCGCTTGTGCCTGTGCCTGGTACGGTCTCAGGTTTTTATAGGCACAGGGTGGGGGGCATGGCAGGCCAGAGTGGTCTTGGAAAATGCAACATTTTGGCGCAAAAACAGAAGTTCCTTTTCTCACTTAGGTCTGTGGGCACAAGCCCGAGGGTGGAGCCCTCACCAGGGACCCACCCCTTCTCTACCCAGCACTTCCCTGTCCCCTCCCATATGACTTTCTCAGTAGACAGTATCATAAGATGGTTAAGAACATACTGAGTGAGAATACCTGGGTTCAAGTCTTGTCTCTGCCACTTATCAGTCATATAACTGTGGGAGAATTACCTAATTTCTCTGTGCCTGGGTTCCCTTGTCTGTAAAATTAAGTTAATAAAGGTGTCTATTTCCTAGGGCAGTTCTATAGAATAGGTGAGTTGGTATATGTGAAATGCTTAGAAAAGCACCTGGCTTTCCATGGAACTAAGTGTAGGTAACATTATGTAAATTTTCTCTTTTTGCTCTCAAAAGTCCCCCTATACATATTACTAATTCCATTTTAACAAAGGACTTTGGATGTCACTAAAGACATCATATGTGTACTGTCATTCAGCTTTCTCTCCCTTTGCTCTTCTTCTTCAGTCCTCGTGGTTTTAGATGGGGGCAGGGGGGTGGGCACATGACTCACACCTGACCAATCAGAGTGGCGCATTTCCTGCTGCTGATCCTGAAATAAGCATTGGACCTGAGCTGAGCATGGTGCTTTCCTGGGGTTTCTGCTGGGCTTTCATATTATCATGCTCTTCTTCTCTAAAAAGCCTAGCTCTGGGATCACACAAAGATTCCGGAATGTCTAGGAATCATCTTTTCTAAAATTTGGAGAGGGCCAACCTAAAAATGAAACCCAAGAAAAACCACAGCCAATACATGAGAGTTTCTGAATGCTTGTGATTGAGTTCCTGGATCTTGCCATGCCTAAAAACAGTATTCTGGGTTTTATAGAAACATGAGTCAAGAAATTCCTTTCTTGAGTTGGTTTGAGTTGGATTTTTTTTTCCACTGGCAAGGCCAGCACAGCTGAGCCAGCCAAAACTCAACTCTGAATTCTGTGGCAATAGGCATAACCCTGGAGCATCAAAGGCTGGCAGGGGTCCTGATATACAGAGAATGATGAGATAGCAACCAGTTCACCACCTCAGCTAAGGAGAGCCCTGTCAAGGATAACCCCTAATATGGTGTGATAAAAGTGGCATTCCACCTGTGGTTTTCCTTCCAAAAACCCATGATCCTAGTCTAATCAAGAGGATAAAACATCAATATTCAATAGAGGGGAATTCTACAAAATACCCGACCACTACCCTTCAAAACTGTCAAGGTCAATTATGTTAAGTGAAATAAGCCAAGCACAGAAAGATCAGTACCACGTGTTCTCACTCATCTAGAAGCTAAAAACATAAATTGGGCTCATAGAAATAGAGAACAGAATAATGGTTATTAGAGGCTGGGAGGATAGAGGGAGGGAAGGATAGGGAGAGGTTGGTTAACAGAAACAAAATTATAGCTAAAAAAGAAAAATAAGTTATAATGTTCTATGTAGCTCTGTAGGGTGACTATAGTTAACAATAATTTATTGCATATATTGAAAAGCTAGAAGAGAGGATTTTGAAAGTTCCCAACATAAAGAAATGATCAATGTTTGAGGTGATGAATATGCTAATTAACCTGATTTGATTGCTACACAATGTATGTGGGTATTTCAGTCTAAAAACATGTAGCTTTCTGGACGGGCACGGTGGCTCACACCTGTAATCCCAGCACTTTGGGAAGCCGAGGCGGGTGGATCACTTGAGGTCAGTTCGAGACCAGCCTTGCCAACATGATGAAATCCTGTCTTTACTAAAAATACAAAAATTAGCGGAGTGTGGTGACGGGCACCTGTAATTTCAGCTACTTGGGAGGCTGAGGCAGGAGAATTGCTTCAACCTGGGAGACGGAGGTGGCAGTAGGCCGAGATGTCACCAGTGCACTCCAGCCTGGGCCACAGAATGAGACTGTCTCAAAAAAATAATAAAATAAAATAATAAAAAATATGTAGCTTTCCTGTCTGAGTAGATAAATATATATACTAGCTTTTACTTACCAATTAGGCAATTTCTCCCTCCGAATTGAAACAGACAGAGGGTGTAAGGAGAGATTTTCCTGGATTGACTAGGTAAGATCTAGAAGATAAAAATGGAAGAATAGAGTTGGACAAAATTATGGCTGAGTGTGATAATACAGATGCAGGTATCTTGGTCTGTGAGTAGATTACTGGTCTGTAAGTGGAAAAATTAAGAAATTAGTGGTATTGAAATATCACTCTGTACCCCCATAAATATGTGCAATTATTACATGCCAACTAAAAGGAAAAAAATCTGTCAGGGTCATCAAGACCAAGGAAAGTCTGAGAAATTATCACAGCCCAGAGGAGTCTAAGGAGACATGGTGACTAAGTGGAGAAAGGATATTACAGAAAAACTATGCAACTGAAATAAAGGATAGAGTTTAGTTAATCTTTTTTTTTTTCTAAGGAGGGGAAGGGTAATCTCTACATTCACTTCCAGTTGGTCTTTGCTCTGAGAGTTCAGTGGCCTGGTGTGATGACGGCAGAGGTAACTTCCTCAACTCTGAAAACTGGAGGTCACTTGGACCTCCTTGATGACACCTTTTCATGATAGGAACTTTCCCATTCATTCAGCACACAGGGCTCCGTCTAAGCTACTGGGCCTCAAAGTGGTTCAAGCTATGGCTTTGTGCCCAAGGAAACTGCAATCTGGGGAGCATTGGACAGAGAAGGGCTAAACTTCCTCCTTAGTAGTGGCTCTCAGACCCACTGCCTCCCCAGCAGAGCTATCCTACAACTAAGTTGATAATTAAAGCAAAATATGAATATTCACTCGAAGTGGGATAAATATGATGAATGTAAAGCCTCACATGAACTCTGGTTAGATTTTGCCACCAATGAGTTTTGGTACCAAACTTACAGTAAAATTCTCAGTTGCCAGAGCTTTGGTGACGTTGAAATTTTAGATAAGGTATGGTAGACCTGATTAACACTTCCAGCTTCAACCCCAAGAGAAAATTGGTGGTAGTATCCACCATCCTTTCCCACTGTTCCTCAGGCTGTGTTTAGTTTATTTCCTAACCCTGAGGAAGATCATTCTTAAGATTCCTTTCAATTTTCTTTCAGATATATAATAACGTTGGTGTTTTGGAGTGAATTAGCCTGAATTGACTTCTCCCCTTAGCCTACTTCTTTAGCTCTCCTGACCTCATTCACACATTACTCGGTGGTTCTCAATACTGAGCTTGCATCACAATCCCCAGGAGGATGTATTAAAACACAGATTACTGAACCCTCCTTCCCAAGTTTCTGATTCAAGAGGTCTGGAATGGGGCCCAAGAACTGCTTTTTTTTTTTTAATTTTTTAATTTAATTTTAAGTTCCAGGATACATGTGCAGGATGTGCAGGTTTGTTACATAGGTAAACGTGTGCCATGGTGGTTTGCTGCACCTGTCAGCCCATTGATATAGGAGTTAAGAAGAAATCACTTAGGCAGATAGTAAGGGTTATGGGAGTCCACGGTAAGACCTTTTTTTTTTTTTTAATGAAAAGCAGCCCAAAATCATGTTCTAACAGAGTAGCCTGTAAAGTCAAGCTGCAGACATAAATAAGCAAGCTGGGAGCTTGCATGGGTGAATCCTGGCAGGAACTAGGGACTAGACATGTTCAGATGGCAGCTCCATCTTCCCTTCTCTTTGTCAGCCATGTGTACAGTGAGGAGCAGACAGGATGTCCCCAATGAACTGGAAAGCCCATTTGCATAATAAGATTAGGGCGGGGAACCAGCCTTCCCCATGCACTATGTAAACATCGTACCTAATCGAGCCAATCTGTGAGTCCTATGTAAATCAGACACCACGTCCTCAAATCTGACTGTAAAACCTGGCACATTTACCGCTGGCTGGGTCCTTTCCGCTCGGAGACCCCTCTCCCTATAGAGAGAGCTGTTTATCTTCCTTTTCTCTTCTGCCTATTAAACCTCTGCTCCTAAACTCCTCATGTGTGTCTGTGTCCTAAATTTTCCTGGCGCACCACAACGAACCCCAGGATATATACCCCAGGTAACGTAGCCGCTTCACCATTGCCTAAGGTATTAAGCCCAGCATGCATTAGCTATTTATCTTGAGCTCTCCCTTTCCCTCCGCAACCCGCCTCCCTGACAGGCTCCAGTGCGTGAGTTCCCCTCCCTGTGTCCATGTGTGCTCATTGGAGAACTGCTTTTTTAACAAGTTTTCTAGTGATGCTGACATGGCTGGTCCCAGGACCACACTTTGAGGGCCCACTGCGTTACTTGACGGAGCTTCTTTATCTTGCACTGAAGTGAAGACAACAATAAACATTCAGATGCAGTTTTCATCTTTATAAAGATTAGCTCCCAAATGACCCCAGTGTGTATTTGATGACTCACGGCTGTCTGCCTGTTCGACACACACAGAGATAGAAAGGCGGCTGAGTACTTGTCGCGAAGAGCTTGGTTGCCACGGGATTTTATTGGGATGTCATCCTGAGAAGCCTGAGTTAGGCCCTTCACTGGTGGTATCAGAATAAAAAATAGCAACTTTAAAGGAGTTTAGGGAAGGCAATTGAATTTTGATTTTAAATAAAATTCCTGAATTGAAATTCCTTTCCCAAACCACTGTATAATGTTGCTGTGTGAAGAAAAAAAAAAACTTTGCAAATGACTTTCCAAAAGTCATTAAACATGTAAAATGTTGTTCTCCTTTTAACATATATGACTGTCAGTCAACATGGAAACTCCAGCAGATAAAGATTCTCTTCTTTCAGGAATCAGGGAAGTATGCAAACTCTCATGAGCTGATTTTCTTAATTTTTCCACTTACAGGCCAGTCATCACTCACAGACCAAGATCACACCCATACATATTTTTGTCCAACTCTATTCCTCCATCTTTGTCTTCTAGATCTTACCTAGTAAGTCCAGGGAAATCTCTCCTTACTTCCTCTGTTTCAATTCTGAGAGAGAAATTGCCTAATTCATAAGTAAAAGCTAATATATATATCTACCCAGACAGGAAAGCTACACGGTTTTAGATTGAATTAGCCACAAGAATCAAGGCACCAACATCTCAAATTCTTGGAGTTCTTCAAGCTTTACAAAAATCTCTTCTTGTGTTTTTAATACTCAAACATTTACTCAAACATCTTAACGAGAACTAAACACATATTTCTACTCAATATTTTTATCTCCTTTATAATTTTGAACATTCTATCAGCATTCTTCTTACTTGTTTTAGTTACAAATGTTATGATTTCATCTGTATCATAGATTTAATTGATTTTGGAGAGTTGATCTGGAAACCAATTTATAATGTATATTTATAATGTTAATATTATATAATTTTGTATAGATAATCTTATAATTTTATAAATAAGAACATGTATTTTTGCCTCAATACTTACCAGCTAATCCATTTATTGGTCTAAGACTAAATGTCCTTCTATATTCCCTTAAACATATAAAATGTGGGTAACAACAAAGACCTTTTAATGAATACATCCTAGCTAACTCATAGATTATCAATTGAATTGTGTCATGATTATTTACTTTGCAAAAAGATTCTTTGCTTTTCAAAAGAATTAAGTTTCCTTTAAATAGTCACATGTAAAGGCATATTTTAACTCACACACCTGTTCATGCACATAGCTGTTTGCTGAATTAAGTGTAAAAATAAAATGAAGGGGAAATATCTTCACTCTCATTTTAGGCTTGTAGACTCTGCCTCCTCGGAGATACTCCCACTTCCTAACAGAAAGGCCTCAAGCCATTCTACGTGAATGTTAGATTCCACATTAGCAGATGCTGCTCCATACCCTCCCCACAGCCCACAAGAAGTAGCTGGGTGAAATCTAGGGCTAGGGACGCCTGGCGATGCCTTACACAGGTGGTTAGCAGGAGCAAGATGTCCAAAGAACAAACTGTTTCCAAGTCTCCCTTCTGTATCTTCTCATTAGAGGCAAGAGATATATCTTGGGAATCTCTGCCCCATTGGAAACTTTCCTAAACTTAGGACCTATTCCTGCCCCATCCCTCGGCTAGAGTCCCTGTCTCTAATACTAATTGTGGATATTAAGAATGGGGCCTACAAATGGATTATGTCACATTCTCTTCATTTTATGGATTAAATGCTGTCATCTTTTCACATTCCTTAACTGGCCTCTAAAAACAAAATCCAGCCCTGTCCTTTGTAAAGAACTGGATTGGTATTTGTCTCTTAAAGGTGTATATCCCCCATGCTCAGGCTACCTGCCTCTGTGGAAATAAGAGAAGAATTCCCTAACTCACTCATGTTCTGAGAAGACTGCTGGCCAGGGCGGATGTACGTAGTCTCATGCATATGCCACTGTACCCAAAATTGTACCATCAGTGACAGAATGAGCATATATTTCACTGGTGCCCACAACTGGTGGCAGGCACTTGGTAGGTTAGTGGTACGAAGATAACTAAGTTGGTTCTTACCCTCAAATAGCTCAGAGTCTACTGGAGGGCTCCCTCCTTTGGAATGAATTATTGTTCTTTCTCTCTATCTCTCTTAACATGCAACTATTCATTGATATAATTAATAGCATAGCATACCATAAGTTGCACATCAGATCTTTCCTTGCAATCCTAGTGTTTTGGGAAAAGACAACTTTTAAAAAGTCCTCATAAACCACTGAAATGAGTACAATGACCTACACACACCCCAGTTTGATAAAAACTCAATTCTGTTACCCTAAAGACGCACTTCACTACAACCATTGCCTTCCTTCAACCAAGAGCCATTCGTCTGCCATTACTTGAACAGAGCAGCAGATGGCACCAGAAAACTGCAGCATGAGAGGAACTGCACAAGCATTCTCGGCTTCCAACGTTCCCTTCCTTCTCAGGGAGTCAGCATTTCACATAACAGTGCCTCAAATTTGTCCTCAGGGGTATTATTTTCCTCAGAGAAGAGCTGGAGAAATAAACTGATATTCTAGTAAGAGAAGCACCCACCATCGTCATTGTCAACAGTGAGATTTGGTGCAAGGGCGAGCCATATTGCTTCCGGGTAACTCCATGACTTTCCAAGTGAGTAATCTTAAGAAACTCCGTGTTCTCATTTCCTCATCTACTAGAGGAATTAGAGTCAGAATTTCATCTAGCACCCTGAGAGGAACACATGAGAACCAAATGCCGTGCTGGATTTGAAAGGTTTTTGTAAACTGTGATAGGTTATTTATTAATTACCAGTAGCACACATTTCCCTCTGAGATCAGAGTGCATCTGGCGTGACACAAGCTGAGGCGGAAAAGCATTTTCTCTGCAGAAGCATGAGGTGCTCAGCCTGGGAATGCGGTGTTTCCACCATGCTGGGCCAACACACTCAATAGCATACAGTGAGGGAACAGAAGTGCTATTCAGCTTCTGGATACCAGGGATTTGCCCTCCCAGCTCTCTGGTTAACATTTCACCCCTTCCTCAATTCCAGTCTCAGGCAGACACCCTGGGACACTCATTCCCTGTCCTCTCAGCAAATCCCAGTGAAACTAAAACCTAAGCAAAGTGATGAAGAAGAGTCTCTAAAGTCCTCTGTTCCACATCCTGATTTCAATTTTCCCTTTCCAGATAATTCTGTGTCATCACTTTTACCCAGGCTGCCCCTGTCAGTAGGAAAATGAACAGGAAAAGGAACAGATAGCTTAACATGTTACCCCTTCAAGAAATATCTATATTTTAAATGAGAATTGTGGTGAAAGAACCATGTTTCATCCAAAGGAAAAAGTCTCTAACAGTCAAATGGGAGCCCCTGTAGGCAGAGAGAGTTTTTAAGTCACCAGCTCCTCCCACTAAAAAAGTCATCTCTCATAGATTTTAACTTAAGGCCCAGATAGCTTTTCCCCCTTTCTGTCCCCCAATTTCTTCCCTCTGGTCTATATAACTGATCACACTCTGTGAAAAGTATCCACTCTGCTCTTTTTTCCCTCTATGCCTGTCAGCAGCCGCATCTTTGTTTTTTCAGACAGAGTCTTACTCTGTCGCCCAGGCTGGAGTGCAGTGGCACAATCTCAGCTCATTGCAACCTCTGCCTCCTGGGTTCAAGTGATTCTCCTGCCTCAGCTTCCCAAGTAGGTGGGATTACAGGCGCCCGCCACCATGCCCAGCTAATTTTTGTATTTTTAGTAGAGACGGGGTTTCACCATGTTGACCAGGCTGGTTTCAAACTCCTGACCTCATGTGATCCACCCGCCTCAGCCTCCCAAAGTGCTAGGATTACAGGCGTGAGTCACCGCGCCTGGCCAGCAGCCGCCTTTTTAAATTTTCTGAACTTGTGCTCGCTTCCACAGCACATATACTACATTTTCTGACCTTTAACTCCCTGTTGAAGTTCTTCTCCCACCACATATACATGTGCTCAATAGAAATCAAGCTAACCTCCATGTAATCACCAAATCTTAACAATAATATTTTAACTCTGTGTAATACTTTATAATTGACAGAGTGTTTCCATTCAACAGGTAAACAGGGGAATGGGAGGGGATGACATGTCGGAAATGGCCTGAGGTCCCAGGGCTAACCAGAAGCAGGATTCAGACTTCAATGCAGACCTCTGTCTCTCAGTGGTCCAAAGACCATTCCCTTCTAACACTAAGAGCTTTCCAGAAGCTGTGGAAAAGGAGCCCTGAAGAACAAAATGGTAGTGCCAGGGGGGTGCCCTGATGTCCCACACCTGCACCTCCAGGCCTGCAGACCTTCCATGGGGACCAAAGGTAACCATATCTACAGCCAGCATTGGTCATCTCGCTGCTGGCAACAGGGGAATGAGGATGAAGGTAGATGTTCTCTCAGCCCATTGCCACTGCCCTCTCTTGAACTCCCTTGAATACCTAAGACAAGGTGTACCTTGAGCTGAACAAAACCCAGAGTGACCTTCCTAAATCCCAGCTTCAACCTTGGACTTTGAATACCTTGAAAAACCCCAAGATAAGGGAGGAAAGAAGAGCTCTAAGAAGCAAAGAAATGAGGGCCTAAAACCATGTCCTTAATTCCTTATTTCTTAATCCTTCCTGAGGATGCACTGTATGGAAAGTGCATTCTAGGCTGTTGTGCAAGAAGGGGAACCACCACATTCTTTTCCTGTGTTTACTGGAATCCCCTAATGTGACTTAGCAGCACGTCCACCAACCCCTGTTCCTCCCCTTAGACTGTTCTTACAGAGCTTCCTCTTGGGCCCACAACAGAGCTGCTGTGCTCCTGCCGGGCGGGCCGTCTTCTGACACACACACAAAAGCCTTGTTAGAGCTCCTTCCTTACTAGGGACAGCCCAAGGCCAAAAGAGAGATTCCCTGCCCCAAAACAGGGATGAAGAGCCCAGAACTTCTCTGTCACTGAGAATTTCAATGCCGTAGAGGTAACCTGGGATGGAGAGGAATTGAAAAGAGCTACTGAGAAGGGCCATTCCTCATGGGGCACCAGGGGGGCTTCGCGGGGGCGCAGGGAGGGCCGTTCCTGCCAGTGGCCCTTCTAAGAAACTCTATAACATCCATGTGAATGCTTTTGTCTGAGAGCTGGGAAAGTGGCCGTGGTTCTCCAGGGCATCCCATTCCCCATGCTAACCTCCAGGTTATATCCCTGAAGTGAATTCTTATTCTATGTTGCCTCAACATGCATTTTGAATATAAATTTAACTTTCTCATACCAGAAGCAGGGCTTAGGTACTCTTGGTGCAGTTTCTAGTTCTATACTCCCAAACCCAGTCCCCCAGTGTGGTCCATCTAGATATCTGCCTTATACAACTTCCTCCTGGTGACCCCCTGCCCAGTGACAGCTAGATATAGCCTGCTGGGCAGGCCCTGCTGACTCCCACAGCCCACATAGACTGTGCAGATGTGTCACAGCGACCACCGCTCATCGCAGCATGACCTCCTGAACTCATGCCTGCTCGCTAAACCCACCATGTAAAACTCCCACTGGAGACCTGCCTGGATAACACCCTGGACCCAGTAAAGTCATTAGTGCGTGGATTCCTCTCTCTCTCTCTGTCTTCGTGTGCTCCCTGCCTTCAGTGTGTGCCCTCTGGGCATGACGTGTAACCTCCAGTACCTGTAAGTAATAAAATCTTTATTTCCATCTTGTGTCCCCCTAATCAATGAAGCGGTGCCCTTCATCTCAAAGATCCTAAATTATAACAATCCCTTACCTAGAGATGATTTCCGCAGAAGTCGTCCAAGGGCAGAAACAGAAACAAGTCATGAAGTTCATTTGATCATCCTTGAGGACGTATCAGGAAGTCTTGTCAGCACAAAGGCGAGGCTGGTGGTAGTCCTGGGAATTATCAGCACCTGTGATTGAGTGGTTTCTCTGTGCATGGCATAGCACTCTTTAGGCTCCAAAGGCCTTGCTTCCAAAGGCCCAGTGGCTACCTTGTATACATATACATACACATGTGTATATGTAGACATATATTTTATATATTTCTGTGTATATAAATGTACCTATCAGTATACATATAAATACCTGATATATAACACACATTTATAAATATGTTATATTTATATAATTAGGTATTTTTAAAATACATATATACCTTTAAATATGTATAGGTACATATATATACACACATATACAATCTTTCATGACTGGGACTACATAAAAACAAAAACAACAATACCCCACAGTATTAGAAATAAAACTTTCTAAATCTATCAAATAGGTTTGCATCTATTACTTTATTGTTTAGTTCCAAAATTGTGAGGTTGGGCAGATACCATGATTAGCTCTATTTGACAGATAAGGAAATTAAACTTTCATTACAGTGCTGGTCTGAATCAAAATGAAACTCTAGGTTGAATGCTTTATTCATATCTTCATGTCCCTGACACATATTGCTTTAAAATGTTGTATAGTTTGGAGTATAAACTTTTGATGTTTTATAAACCTATCTTGGGAATTACTTTTGCTGACAATACCTTCCAGATTACCCTTCAGTCTCTATAATTGAAATAAACTTAGAAATGAGTAAAAATCACTTGGATGCAACTCACCTTAAAATTACAATTTGGTCGATTTTTCTCAAATCTACCTGCACACTAGGAATCACCTGAGATCTTTTTTAAAACTTCAGTGTCTAGGATTCACTTCTGATCAATTAGAGCAGACTCTCTGGGAAGGGACAGGGCAAAGTATTTTCTAAAGCTCAACATGACATTTTAATGTGCAACCATGGACTTAGATGGTTCAGGAGTGCACAGCCTCATCCAATGTACTGCATGATGCCAGATCATTTTGCACACAATTGTGTGTGTGGATGTCCCAGTTAGATAAACCAAATGTCCCCAAGTCTACCTAAGGGCACCCTTTTCACAGTTATCTGCCATCTTCCATCCAATACCCTCCCTAATTTTTCCAGGCATCCAGGAGACATGTTCCCCTGGTTCATACCACTCCAAATTCCTGCTGTTGCTGATTTCTCAGTCTTACTTCTCACTTTGCTTCCTGTGGATACTGCTCTGATTTCTAATCCCATTCCCACACCTTTGGCCACCACCTTCCCTCCTCCTTCTCAGCACTCAAAGTAACACTATCACTACTACCTCATGGAACAAACTTTTACTAAAACCTTAGGTTTAATAGAAGAGTACAGCTCCTAAACAAAACTTACCATTGAGTATTAGGCAGTGTTGTTCTCAAAGTTTCTGCCCTAGAGGATTCTGGGGTTTTTTTTGTTTTTTGTTTGTTTGTTTTTGTCATCAACAGTTTTCTTTGTTTCAATATCCAAGAGGTATTTCCTGCTATCCTCCCTCTCATAGTCTCAGGGGTCCTCACCACCTTTCTACCAAGCTATGACCCAAGAAAACTCACATTCCTGGCCAGGTGTGGTGGCTCATACCTGTAATCCCAGAAGTTTGGGAGGCTGAGGCAGGAGGATCGCTTGAGCCCAGGAGCTCAAGATCAGCCTGGGCAACATAGTGAGACAGTGAGATGCCATCTCTACAAAAAATTTAAAAATTAGCCAGGCATGGTGGCAAACACTGTGATCACGCCACAGCACTCCAGCTTGGGTGACAGAGCGAGACCCTGTCTCTCAAAAACAAAAAAATTAAAATTTATAAAAAAGCGTGTGTGTGTGTGTGTATGTGTGTCTGTGTGTGTGTGTGTGTGTGTGTGTGTGTGTGTGTGTGTGTGTTTAAGATGTAAGATTGGGGCCAAAAACCATTGGATGCCATGTAGACGAGTAGTTAGAACGCTATGTGAACAGAGTACATGCTGGGCAAGTGTTAGAGACTCCCTGAAAGAAGGGCTAGCCCTAAGACCTGAAGTAGCAGCCTGAGGGAATCAGCAGTTCCAAGGGGCAGCCAGAAAAGGCTGATCTGTGGCCCAAAAGTGAAGTGGCTGAGCACTGAGCCATTAGGGAATGTCCCTGGGCCAGTTTCATTTAACACCACCTGAGTCTTGCCTCAAACAATCAAAAATACTTGCCAAGAGCACTTCATGACCTCTACCAGGTGAGAGGTCCTGTGAGAGGAAGGGGACTACCCTCCCAGGGCAGACACTGAGCAAGGTGCCTGCAGCACAACAAGCCTTCAAGACAAGGGATGAAAGAATCCTTTGGACAAGATGTCTCTGGGACATCCCATCCATCTCCAGATTATGAAAGCTTCCTAATCAGCTTCTGGTAGGGGAAGGAAGGCAGCCTTGGACTCATGATCATCAGGGTGCTAATGAGCAAACCAGGCAATTCTGGACTGTATGCATTAGCAGCCGTTGCTCTGTGTGGCAGAATACACAACCCAATCAGAATGGTTTCAGGAACAAGATCTCTTGCTCTAAGTGATAATCTAGAATTTCAAAGCTAGAAAAAAACCCAAGAAGTCATCTATTAATAATGCACCTCTTCATGACACTATAAAGAAACTGGGGTTTGACTGGGTACGGCGGTTCATGCCTATAACCTCAGCACTTTGGGATGCCAAGGCAGGAGGATCTTGAGGCCAGGAGTTTGAGACCAGCCTGGGCAACATGGTGAAACCCCATCTCTACTAAAAATACAAAACAGCTGGGCATAGTGCCGCACACCTGTAGTCCCAGCTACTCAGGAGGCTGAGGCACAAGAATCGCTTAAACCCAGGAGGCAGAGGTTCAGTGAGCCGAGATCGTGCCACTGCACTCCAGCCTGGGCAACATAGTAAAAAAAAAAACAATCAAAACTGGAGGTCAAGGCGTAGAAATGACTTGTTGGGTGCTCTTGACTTCTTAGTGGTACAGCTGAGGCTACTTGGTCTCCTGGCTTCCCGTCAAAAGACCTTTTATGAACACACAACCTGCCATAAAACACATTGTTAATTAATCTTTATTTTCCTTCTTATCAGAGGAAGCCTTAAGATGTTAGATAACCTGTATTTCAATAAAAAGACCATAATAGAGAAGAAAAATATGTTTCTTGACACAAATCATAAATGTCATTTCCTTCCTGGCTACACTGCTCTCTCCTTCTCTCCTTCTCTCTAATACCATACCCTCCCCTCCCTCAATATATATCGCAATGCCTAAAGACAGAGAAGCTCTTCATACCATTGCCCGTGAAAACTGCCTAGGGAAAGCCTATGTTCCAGTCTGACCCCAGAATGAATTAAGAACAAAATTCAGTCTTGAATGAAACATGGCTTTAGTTTTGTTGACTTAACAGATTTTATCCCAGCACATTTTCTAAGCTTTATTTATCACCTCTATATCCGCTACTAGCTCTGCTAGAGGTGAAATCAATGCCAACCCTGGCTATTAAACCATGAGCTTGTAAAATTCCCAGCATTTTGCTAAAATACCAGGCAATCCTCAAAGGAAGCCTATCGCAACAGAAAAACAAAACAAAACATAGACTTTCCAAACCAGGGCATATTCAACAGAACCATGAATTGAGTGAGAGTCAGGAAGCCCAGATAGAGGCCCAGTTCTTTTGCCACTTGGCAAAAGATACCAGCCAGGGAGCTTTGCTTTCCTTACCTGAAATCAAGAAGGTTGGACTAGATAATCCCTAAGTCTCCTCCGTCCACAAGTTTCTATGATTCCATATAACCATATGGATATCCTCCATGATATCTGGAGTGATGTGACTTAGGTTGGTTCATCCAGAAGCATAGACAGGTTTCCAAGGGCCGCCTTGGCAAAACACTTTAGAAAACTCAATATTTCTGAGAATGATTAATGTTGAAAACAATGGGATCACCCGAGTTGGAATTTGCCCAGTAGCCGGCTTTACTTGGAAGAAAAGACACAGAATTCTGTTGGCCACAGGCTATTATTCAGGTTGTGGGATTGTTTCTCCATAGCCCAAGCACCACCTTCCCAGCACCACAACAGAGGCCTCATCTGATACTGACTCAGAGGGCACTTTCCCCATCTAAACCCCCATACTCTGTTTTCCTTGGAACATTCTCTGCAAACATTTAACTACAACCCAACCCTGCTTATCTCAAATGAATGTACCAGGTCTGGCTCCTTCTAGTACACAGGCAGGAAAATAAAGAAACAAACAACTCACTGCTTCTTTATTCATGTCTTCCTGAGCAAGGAGGAAGAAGCAGTGAAGAAGAATCAAATAGGAGGAAGATGACACTAGAAATACTAAGTGGAAGAACCAAGGACGGGGGAGAAAGCATCATTAAGGCAGTCAGTTGAGAACTGAGTGAGTAGTGGCTTCTCTGCTACCCATATGTTAAATTAATGATGGAAGCTGATGGATAAATTGTATGATTTGCACAGAGCAGTATACATTTCTCAAAAGCATGCATTCAAGAGGCCTTAATACTAAACACAAAAATTGGTGCACAGCAGCCTTCCAATTTAACATTCAGAGCCTTGATTTCAACTGTGATGAAGATGCTGAAATCAGTGTGCCCTTGAAAGAACTGAGCACATCAAATGATAAGGATAGAGTAGCTAGGATGCACTTTCTCTGTAGCAAAGTTCACTGAGGAAGTGGACCCTCTGGTAAGCTTCTCCCTTTCTCCTTTCCATCATACAACTTGAGCATACCAAGTGTTATGGACTGAATGTTTGTGTCCCTCCAAAATTCATATGTTGATGTCCCCAACGTATTGATATTTTGAAGTGGGGTTTTTTGGGAGGTTTAAATGTGGTCATGAGGGTAGAATCCCCATGATGGGATCAGTGCCCTTATAGGAAGGAAAGAGACCAGAGTTCTCTCAAAGAAGAGGTCATGTGAGCACACAGCAAGAAGGCAGCTGCCTACAAGCGAAGAGAAGCGTCTTCAGAATGAAACCCTCCTTGCCAAAACCTTGATCTTGGACTTCCTTAGCCTTCAGAACTGGGAAAAATAAAATTACTATTGTTTCAGCCATTTTGTTATGCAGGCTGTGCAGACTAAGACACCAAGATGCAGAAGTCATGGTCCTTCAATTAAGTTATTTACCAAGACCTTCAGTCGGTGCTATAGTGCATGGGTTGTCTTGAGCCCTGAGTTTAATCCACACCACAAAGAAGTTCAGATAAAACCCAAGGGTTACAGGTTACTCAGTAGAGTTTTTTCAGATAAACAGACCTCTGGTGCTTCCTCATTCCTCTCTCTGGTTTCCAACACAGATGTTCCTTCACAGACCATGAGGCAGGTCTGAGTTCCTCGGACTCTTCTGACCATTCAGTTTTTCTCTCATGGTCTGCAGCACACCATTTAGCACTAAATTACATGCCATCCTGTAATGATGGACTTTCCCCCTTTTTTTTTCATTTATATTCTCCCTGAAGCTCAATTATAAGCACCTAAAGTGCAGAGAGCATATCTCGTATTTTTTCAGCCTCCACAAAAACCTGGCACAATGCTTAGTATATAATAAGGAATCAGTAAATGTTTGATTTATTGGTCAAGTATAGAGTAACAGGTTTTGTGAGCAGGTATAGAGCAGCAACTTGTTACAATCCTCATTTGCGCCGTGGAAATGCCTGCCATCTTTTACCATCAGGATAAAGAGCGTTTCTCTTAGCGCCACATCTAATAGTGATCATTGCTTCTATCTGCCCGGCACGTCATAGCACACAAAGTTGCTTCAAAAAGATTGTGCCTGCAGGTTCCTTCCCACAAATCTGGGAAGCATGATATTCAGATGGGGTCCCCTTTATAGACCATAAAGCCCAGCTCATCAAACACCACCTCTCTCCCCAACCCTCTTCAACACTATGTGGGATGGCACCAGGGACCACCAACTCTAGCAAAAAATTCAGTGGATGAAGTTTAAAATTGCTGATTTAAAAAGCAGAAGTCTTAAGGGGGAAATCTATATAACCTAACCTAGATAATGGAAAATTTTTTAAAAAGCAGACATGATCAACTTTCTCACATTCGAAATTCCTCTATGATTGTGTACACATTAGAGAATATAGTTTAGCTGTTCCTTTAAAAAGAAAATTGATGTAATACTTTAACAGGAATGAGCAACTGCTTTTCCAACCTTTTGCATCTAAAAATAGTCTATGCCCCACAGTAGGGGTAGGACCAGGGAGCCCTCCTCAAGCGTTAACCTGCCTGATATGCACACACCCTCAGAGCTGTGTCTGTGCGAATGTCGTCCACAGATTAGGGCTACACTAGCGCCCTTCGTTCTCAGGAACGTGAAGATGTAGCATATATTATGGGATGTAACCCTACACACAAGTAGAGTGAAAGGCTCTTGGAGATCATAGAACCAAACAGCCTTTATGGGAAAAATAAGTCATAAAATGTTAACCTTGGGTCCTTAGCCAGAGAAATGAATGCAAAAGAGGAAAGACGCTGTGAAAATTCCTTTGTCCAAAAGTGCAAACAAATCTCCAATCTGTTACACCCAAAGAATGCTTTTACTGTGCAGACGACCCCCAACCTGCAGAATCAGGATCAGCATTTTATTTTTTTATGAACTAATAGATCAAATTACTTCAATAGAAGTCAGAGCACTACCCACTTACTTAACATAAGACTTGCTTCATTTAATTCCACATATTAAAATGTGAAGATTTATATACAACTGCACTGGGTCTTCCTTTAAAATGTATTTCTTACTACAGTGGTGGACAAAAAAGTTTGAGAAGTCTTGCCCTAGCAGCAGCAAGATTGTTGGAGGGGTAGTACTGTTTGCACTTCCTCCTTTCCTGGTATTAGCACAATGAAAGAATAGCATTGTTTGTTTTCTGATAGAGCATCTCTCTCCCCAGGGCAGCTGAGCAGGTAGTAAGTCTTGGATTCTGGCCTGCAAATAATGGCTGCATCGTTGCTGAGTAGATGAGCCTTAGGCAAGTTACTTAACCACTCAGGTCTCAGTTTCTTCATTGTTGTATAGGGACGCCACCTATTTCATTCAGGACACAGTGGAGACTAAGGATTGCCTCTAAAGTACCTAGCACAGTGCCTGGTGAATAAAGTTCTTCAAGAAATGTGACTTTCTGCCCTGTCCACATTCCACACCCCACCCCTCGTCTTCTGTAGGACTTGTGGGTTGGCACCTGCATTTCTCCACTTTTCTTAGGCTGGGCTTTGTTGACTGTGAAAATTCCTCATAATACTCCAACCCAATCATCTCTAGAGGCAGTCGCTGAATCAAAATCAGGCAAGCATATAATTTAGTCCAGTTTTCAGAAATGCATGTCTCAAAAAATATATAAAGCAAGACTTCATGAAGGCCTGTTCTTTCATGGCTTGCACAGAATAGAGGCCTAAGAGAAAGGCTTTGATAGATGAATGGTTTCAGGATCTCCAGGGTCTCTGAAAAACATCAGTGTCATATTTAAAGCGATAAAACCAACTTCTGTATCTCCTCCATCTTACTTCACATTCCTTGTGATCAGGGGGTTTCCACAGCACCCGGGAAAGACTCTTGATAAATATTAACTAAGGAAAGACAGACCAGGAAAAACTCTTACTTTTCTCCTGTCCTGGCACAGTCATTTAACTGTGAAAGGTCAGAGGAGCCTTTGTGTTTAGTCTGTTCTTGGGGAACCCCCCCATCCCCAAAGAGGAGCAGCCCTTCTTTAGCCTGTCTCAGACTCTCAGTCAGGTGTTAAACTTTTCTAAACATGGAAGAGCAACTGTCCCAATTCCAATACCCTGAGAGAAGCAAGTTATTCATGGGGGGCTCTCTGCCATGCCACCCAACCCAGCAGTGTTTATGTGGGGACGTTTACTCTCAGAACATTCTAGTGCCTTGTCTATCTCTCACTGTTGCCATCTTGCTCTTGCACTCCCTCTTACTCCATCTTTCTACCCAGTTCAGTTCTTTCCTGCATCTCTCCTATGTCTCTAGTCAGAATACCTTCACTTGTCTTTCTATCTTGTTTATACCTTTCTTAGAGCACTTACTACAGTTTGATTTGTGTAACATTTACTTTAAAAGATGCCCGTCTTCCACCATAGACCGTGAGCACCTTGGGAATATGGACTGTGTCTTGTTTTACCACCTCCCCTGACCTTCATCCATAGCACAATGCCCCACCCATAGTGAACATTCAACAGAGGATGCTGAACTAGATTGAACAGAATCCCTACTACTTCATTTGTTCATTTGTATCTAAAACCAAGTCTCAGGGAACTCTTTTTTTGCCATAATATCAGGAGAGAGGTTGTTGTTGTTGTTGTTGTTGTTGTTGTTGTTTTGAGATGGAGTTTCACTCTTGTTGCCCAGGCTGGAGTGCAATGACTCGATTTCGGCTTACTGCAACCTCTGCCTCCTGGGTTCAAGTGATTCTCCTGCCTCAGCCTTGCAAGTAGCTGGGGTCACAGGGGCCTGCCACCACACCTGGCTGATTTTTATTTATTTTTTTAATTTTTAGTAGAGACAGAGTTTCACCATGTTGGCCAGGCTCGTCTCAAACTCCTGACTTCAGGTGATCCACCCGCCTCGGCCTCCTAAAGTGCTGGGATTACAGGGGTGAGCCACCGCACCCGGCCAAGAGACAGCATTGTTAATAGACAAGAAAGAAGGATCCAGAGAAGTAAGGAAGGTAGAGAGTAGAAAAAAGCTTTCTTCTCCAACATTCATAGCTGTCTTTCGTATTTCTTTGTATGCCACATCTGCCTATTTGCCTAATGCTGCACTACCAATTCAGCTATGGCTTGGGGACTGGTTTTACCTGAAAAGCAACTAACTCAGTCTGAAAGTTTCAAAGACTTCCTGGATCTAATGAGAATGTCACTGCATTTCAATTTAGAATCCTTTCTGCCATATCTCTAAGCATTTTCTAACTAAAGAACCAATCTCTCTTAAATAATGTGTTCCTTTGGCTCCCACCCACAATTCTTTCCGTTCAGGCCTTTAGAGGCGTGCTGAGCTGAGCCCCTGTGGAGGGGGATGGTGTCCTGCAAAGCCATAACTGCCCACACTGCTATGTGAGCATCTATCCACCGCTCCCCCAGTGGTCATTCAACCTGTGCGGCTGCTACTGTCACCAGTGTAACGCATGATGTTTCCTGGGAAGCAATGCTGGGAGCCCTTTTGCAGTGGCTGGAACAATATTCCCAACATACGTTCCCATGGCCAGAACAATGCCGAGGCTCCTTCCAATTCTCCTTCTCCCTCTGCGGGTTTGGTGATTGCTCTTTGTGGGGCCTGGCTGAGTCACAGATGGACACAGTGTTCTGTGCCCTCACCGCCAGGATGCCTAAGGCATTTGCATATGGTGAATCCCCCAGCCAGGATATTTACAAAAGCCGAAGAGAGGCATTTTTCTCCTTCAGAACTGACAATGGCTTTGATGCCTAGAATATGTTCCATTAGCAACAGAAGCCAAAAAAGGTTAGACAGAAAAGTTTCCCTCACAGTGGTTTCCACCCAGTAGTATTTGAAAAGACTGAGTAGCCAGGGCCTCTGGGGCTACGTCTGAATTCTATCTGGCCTGGGCTCTTCACTTATCCTTCAGACCATCAGTATACCCATGGACCATGGGTATAAACTGGTTACAGACCTTGCATAGACTCTACCATGACTTGAGCAACTAGAATACTGTCTGGAGACTGTCACCTTTATTCGGGTTCTTCCCATTCAGCATATCTGGAAAAATAAACAAGACACCCCAGATTCCCATGTCCGTGCCCTCAAAAGGAAATGCAGGGAAATGTTATTTATTTGTCATGATCTGTGGCCTTACCATGCACACAGCTCCTGAAATAGAAGACCAGCATCATTCTGGTTGATTCACTCTCCCCCATATCCAGCAGGTTCATTCTATCTAAATGGCTCTCTTACTCTTCTTCTCTTGTTCATACCCACCATCATATGCTACATCCAGTTAATTATATCAGGTTCATTGCTTTTCTCCCTACTTCTCCCTCAACCTCCTTCCACAAAACTATCAACATAATTTTTCTCACACGTAAGTTTCATCTCGTCACTACCTTGCTCAAACTTTAGCAATGCCCTAGTTATCTTGGAGATAAAAGCTGATTTCTTCAAGTCACTTCAGGATTTGGTCCTCTCCTACCTGTCCATCCATCCTTACATCCCCCCTACTCTTTATACTCCAGTGATTCTAAACAACTTTGGACTAAGCAAACTTGCTGGACTCTTGCATACCTCCAAAGATGTTCCTCTCCCTAGAATGCATCTACTCCCTGGTCTGTTCCCAGTCTTCAGGACTGCCAAATATTCAGTTGACTTGCCCAGTTTCATTCGGCTTCCCACTCACCAGCCAGGACACGTTAGTCCATTTTTTATCTGTGCTCTGTTTCTTCAATTGGCCAAGGTCAGCAAAAGTTTGAGGAGGATTTAGTTCATTTTCCCTATTCCACCATCCCAAGCAAGAAAACCTTAAGGAGCACCCCATAGGGTGGAATCTGACAATGAAGATGACCAAGTGATAGGCAGAACAAGGAGGCAGAAAGGAACTGGATTCTTGGTGACTTTGGGTGCCTGAGTCAAGCTTGCCTGGAGCCTACTCTATATCAAGACTTTTCTGTTTCATCAGCCAACAACTTCCCTGTATTGTTTAAGCTTGTTTGAACTGGGTTTTCTATCTCTTGCAACCCAGAGGAGCTTATCTGATGCAACAGAAATTAATATTATTCTCTTTGAAAGACATAGATTTCCTTAAAATAAATGGTAAAATAATATAAACTTGCATGCACCAAAGGAGCTCAGTAAATGCACCACTGATTAGAGTCAGGGAGCTTGAATTCTACATGAAAATTTGCCTGCAGCTTCTTGAGGCCCTAACCTCTCATGCTTTATTCTTCTATCTGTAGATTGACTCTACTCCTACCAACTCATTCCTTAATGTATAACATAGTTGCTAGTTATAAAGTCTGGAAAGAGTTCTATTGTTCCTTTACATGTGCAGTTATTTAAAAACATTTATTATTTATTGAGCACTTACTATGTGCTTGGCAGTAGGTGTCAAACACAGAGAAAAACCTGAGATATGTTCTAGGCCAAAGTTTGGCAAACCGCAGCTCAGGGGCCAAATGTGGCCCCTCTCTTGTTTGCATAAATAAAGTTTTATTGAAACACAACCGTACTGACTCATTTATGTGTTGACTGGCTGCTTTCACACTACAACAGCACAGTTGGGTTGTAACCACAAAGACCGTATGGCCTACAAAGCCTTAAGTACCTACGATACAGCACTTTACAGAAAAAGTTTGCCAACCTCTGTTCTAGGCTATTTACCACAGCTAAATAAACCTCCCTTCCCTGAAAAACTGTAGCAAAGTATCTTTCACTCACTTTGGTGTAATGCAGACCCAAATGTCAAATTACTTCCCTAGAAAATAAGTATAGGAGGGAGAAAGAAAAAAATTTTAAACATAAATTCAAATGAGTACACTTTTAGTTTCCAGAATTAATTGGTACCACAGATAAGATTCAGGCCCTGTGAACCATCATTAAGGTCTTCCTTGAGAGAGGAGGGGCAGAAACTGTCCTAGCTGGTGTCAGTGAAAATCCAAGTGCAGGCAATATGACTCATTACAAAGAAAAGAGGTTCGCTTGGCTTTTTTTCTCCTTCATCCTTTCCCCTTGCACAGTTTACTTCTCAGAACAAGATTCTGGTTTCAGAAACTATAGGCAGAGACTAAGATAGATAGATAGATAGATAGATAGATAGATAGACAGACCAGCTTATTTCTAAGTATTAATGCAAAGGCTAAAATCTAGAAATTAGGTTTCTGATTTTTTTTGTATTGGTCTATGATGACTCACAGGTAAGCTTCTAGACTAAATAAACTGTTCAGAATAGTTCCCATTCCCATTGTGCATTCAAGGTTTTCATAAAGCTCTTTTGCAGTACCAGGAGGATTAACACCATAATCACTTACATTGTTATACCGTGGAGTGGAAATACCACAGGCCATTGAGGCCAACAGTTGCCTGTTTCAACTTGTTTTGCCACTTACAATGTGCGCAACACAGAAGAATGTATTTTTCTCCCTCTCCTCTGAAACGCAGTTTCCTTAAGAGTATGTGGAATATGAATCCTCGTTTTCTAGAGTTGTTAGGGAATTGGATGAGGTCACGTGGGAAAGCATCTAACACCGTTACAGGCACAGAGCTGTGTTTCCATAAACATGGTTTATTTCCTTCTCCCTATATCCTTCTGTATCTGAGCAAATGAAAAGCATGCCCTAGTCTGAACAAGAGAATCACAACTTCCTAATATTCAGAGTCTTTCCTGTGTTAAATGGAAAACAAAAGTTACAAGTTGAGAGATACAAAGAGATTTAATTGTGTTCCGGGACTTTCTCCTCATTACCTCAACTCCCAACCCCAAGATCAAAGATGAGAATAGGTTTCTATTTGTACATGAACAGAAAGCTGCAGGCATCAATCAGTAGTAACCACTAATGGAAACTTGGCCACTAGTACCCTCTCTGAGTCTGTCTGACACATTTGGATCTAATTGGCAGTCTGCTTTAGAACAGCCAAAAAATATATTGTCATACACATCATGGATCAAAACGGAGGCAAACTTGCTCACAGCCACAGGGTTTTGGTTGCCAAAATTAGGCAAGCAGGTCTGTGGGTTTTGTTTCAAACAGGTAAATGCTTGCTAGCTTATTTAGAGAAAACCTCTAAAAGATCCTGATTTAGCTAGTTTGGATCCAAAACATGAAGGGACAAGAAAAAGCATTCAGGGTGGCTGGCATCTTGGGTGGTCAGAAGGAGAGACCAACCTATTATTTTCATCCTGCCTCCAAGTAAATTGGAAATTAATTAATATTTTCTCTGGGCTTCTGAGTGACATAGGTTTTTCAGTAAGAGAAGTGCCCCAGGCCTAAGCTCGGAAATGTCAACTATACCTAAAAATAATTTAAAATTCACTATGTGTAGGACAAAATGAAATTTCTCCTTTTAATAAAAATCAACAAAAAGAATGTGTCAAGTCCAATATTACACAAAAATACTACAATATTACAAAATTACAAAAAATACTACAATATTACAAAACAATACACTTTATGGTCGAGCAGAAGGTAAATGATAAGTGTTCTCATTGAATACTGTTAATCTTTTTAGTGTCACAGCCCCCTAGAAATGGTGTACCCTCCTCCCAGAAAAATACATCACCATACAACTTTACATGCAATTTCAGTAATCAGTGGGCTTCCTGGGAACCTCCCATGAACCCCCTTGGGTACGATACTTCCTAGGTTAAAGATTCCTGTGTGAAATCTATCAAATGGAAGGACAAAGCCATTTACTAAATGATGACTTACCTTTCTAGGTCTGCTGTGAGTTCTATACAATTATGCCAGCCTTAGCCTATTCCCACCTGCAAGGACCTCCAGCTCACCAGTTCAACATTACTACCTTCATCTAATATCTTCCTACTCTCAGAACCCATTGGAATATCCATTATAGAGAACTAGGAGAGCCATGGCCCAAACTCTTAAATAATCTCAATATGAAATACTGAAAAAGAGGGAGTAAAAAACATTCAGATATGGGAATCATTAATCCAGTCAACAAATGTTTACGGAGCACCTATTATGTGATAGACCCTCTTCAAGCCCCCAGGGGTACCAACTGAACAAAACAGCTATAATATCTGCCTTCACAGAACTTATACCAGGTCCAAAACTTGGCCCACATCAAGTTGTCTAAACTTTGTAAGACTCAGTTTTCCCATAAAGAATGATTATAACTTGCATCTGATAAGTGGTGGTAAATAATGTTTTAAATGGTACTTAGCCCATAGTAGACGTTCAAATATATTATTACCACTGCTATGGGAAAAATAAGATTATGTGACAAGCATGAATTCTTCAGATTATGTATCACAGCAAAAAAGTCTTATACAATCTCCGTTCTCCAAAATCTCCACAAGCATTGAAAAGAATTCCAAAAAGGAGGTTTGGGCACAGTTCTATAGTTCTCCCAGCCTTTTTTGGATCACTGCTTCCGGAATGTTTTTTCAATATTAGTCATTAATCATCGTTGAGTTGCTTCTTAGTTACTATGGTTCCTTCAGCATGTATGTCACACTGTTTCTTTTTAAGGGCTACCATCTTCCCTCTTCTAACACATCAGTGTCTTGCCCCTACATTTCTAGAAAGTTCTCCTTAATCAAGTTGCCAACTGCAGATTTCCCACTTCCGGTTTTTCATCACTGAAATCTCCCATGTCACAATGTAGCTTTTAACATATAAGTGACTCCATACTATAACACATCACCTGCTAAATTTCCTCTAAACCAAGAAACAGAGAATCTGTAGAGCCAAAAGGCTTGAAATTTACTTGCCAGGAAATATACAATATCTTGATTACAGGGGGTAAGGATGTCTCATATCAGTATCATGCTAGACACCACATTTGGAAAGTGTTACATTCTGTGCAATACTTTGAGACGATGATCTTCAATCCTAAGGGGTTATAAAACCAATTCCAACTCTCAGCTACAAAAAACCCTGGGCTTCTTGGACTATCAAGAAGACTAAGGCAATAGCATATAGTGAGAAAGGAGGGACCAGAGAAAGAAAATGATGAGCAGAGTTACCATAGAAAGATTCAGTGAAAGGTTGGATTAGTTAACCAAGGAACCACAAATTTAGAATTCTCTAGATAGAAAACCACAAAATGCTATTGTTCTATCAAGGCAGAGAAAAAACACCTTGAAGCCAGACATGCTTCTAAATTTTAGACCTCAAGAGAAATGTCAAAATGAAAGTGTCAAAAGTTTCCTAAACAGATATTGCAAGTAAGAAAACCAGTAAACCATCAGTAAGACATCAGTAAGATGAACACTGAAATACGATGTGAACTTTCAAAGAGATGATTCATTTTAGAGAAAGTCACAAAAATTTATCCTGTTGTGTCAGTTATCAATTTACTTGCCTCGAGGCTCAAAATCTATCTTTCATATCCTGCTCTGTAAAATGCATATGGGTCTTTTACAATTTCTTTTCACCAGCTGGCACATGTTAAGCTTTGTTGGTGGAGGGAGGAGAGATATTGGAGGAGAAATGGTATTGTTCTCTTGGTGGTTCTTATACACTCCTCTTCTTAGGCTGCTACAGTACCCAATTTCTTCAGCACTAGGCTTCTGCCATCATGGCTTTGCCACCGACACCTAAAATAAACAGTTCCTATAGTGAAGAGCTCCTCTAGCACCTGGCCTCTGGCTCCAGCAGCCAGAAGCACTCAATGGCCAATACCTTCCCCAACAAACCCTCAGGTAACATTGCAATGAATTGCAAAGCACAGCATGTCCCTGTCAATGGCTTTCTCAGCACCTCAGAGGAAAGATTTCCTACAAGTTCATCAAGGTATTTCAGGGACTCCTCCACTATCTGGTGAGCCACAGCTATGCCCATTCCAATGAGGTATGTATCTTAGCCCTGAGAGAGAGGAAATCCTTTTCCTTGGGTGCTCTGTCTCAGTCCTATACATCATGGCTTCTCCTTGTATCTGCAGTTCCTAAATTCTTTAGAGTTCTCTTTACTTTTTACTAGCCAATCTCTTATCATTCTAATCCCACATGGATAGTTATTCTTCATATTAAACTTCCCTTATTCTAATGACTGTGTGGCTTTTATTTTCTGGTTGAATTCTGACTTATACACCTGAGAACCATCTGTGAAATTCCAGATGCAAAAAGGCCATTGTTTTAGAAAAGTAAAATGCTGTTTTTCCAGGTATAAATACCACAGAATGAATCTTTGTAGTCAAGATAGAAAATTCAAGCCACAATTATTTGGAATCTTTTTGGGGCCCACTCAAGGAAAACTGCTCACTCCCTCTTCTGTTCCAGGACTTCACTTAGAATAGACTATTATGCTTAGAACACTGTATTAAATTATTTGGTTGCATGTCTATCTCTTTATTTAGACATCAAAGCATAGCTCATGTTTCATTTGTCTTTGTACTCCATACACCCACCAAAGTTTTTAGTACACAGTAGGAGCTTCACAAACATTTTGTCCAAGATAAAACAAGTTAATTGTAGAAGTAATGTATTTTTTCTTTCCAAAGCCATATTGATATTTATCCTTTAAATTTTTCCAGTGATAGAGATTCCAGGACCCTCTATAATTAAAGTATCTCTGAGCTAAGGGACCTATTAAGTCTTTTCTATTATTAGTATTGAACTCTTTCTCTAGATTTGTTTAGGTTTATTCTTTCCTGTGACTACTATTACTGAAGTGTTCCTGGTAATCTATGAGAAATCATATTCTCTGCCTTGACCAGATGTTATATTTATCTTAGCATGAAAACTCTAAAGATTAATAATAGAGAAAACCACGTATGAAGGAGAAAGGACTTATGAGAACTCTGTACTATCTGCTCACAATATTAAATAAAATAAATGCTAAAGATTAAAAAATTACAGCAGTTAAAAAGAGAATGAAAGCTGTAATATTAATATCAAAGTTAAATTCAAGACAAAAAGCATTAAAAGGGACAAAGAAAGTAATTTTCTTGGCCAGGTACGGTGGCTCACGCCTGTAATCCCAGCACTTTGGGAGGCTGAGGCAGGTGGATCACCTGAGGTCAGGAGTTCGAGATCAGCCTGGCCAAGATGGTGAAACCCCGTCTCCACTAAAAATACAAAAAATTAGAACCCAATCTCTACTAAAAATACAAAAAATTAGCCAGGCATAGTGGTGCATGCCTTTAATCCCAGCTACTCAGGAGGCTGAGGCAGGATAATCACTTGAACCCAGGAGGCAGAGGTTGCAGTGAGCTGAGATTGTGCCATTGCACTCCAGCCTGGGCAACAAGAGCAAAACTCCATCTCAAAAAAAAAAAAAAAGAAAAGAAAAGAAAAGAAAGTAATTTTCTTTTTGCACAAGGTAGAATGTAAAATGTAGGTATGACAGTCCTGAACATACCTGCATCAAACAACAGAGCATGCATGTTTAATTATATAAAACAGAATTCCATTTCTGAATGGTAGGTCTGAAGAAATGTAAGTTTCTATTTTCTTTCTGATACCTCATTATAACTATAGTAGTAATTTTTAAAAGTATAAACCTCCAAAAATACAGAATAATGACATCATGCCATCAGTGGATTAAAGAGTTTAATAAATTGTTGGAATACAGAACACAGATGGAGAAACATTGACCAATGGATAAAGCAGAGCTAAGAAAGCAGCCGCTTTATATACAAACGAGGAGGGGAAGGTGCTGCTGCAATGAAGGGAATTAACTTACTTGGCTTCCTACTCCAAGCATACACAACAGAGATAAAGAGTGAGAACCAGATCTGAAAACAGGGGAATTTGTTGAAGGTCTATGCAAGGAACAGCCAACCACAGCTTCCTATCTGCCTCCTTCTCTTCTTCCAACAGAAGCTGAAACAAGGCATTTATTCCTAGGCCAAAAATAAATAAATAAATAAATAAATAAATAGTCTTTTCAAAAGAAAATCGATAAAATATCTGGAGGAAACTAGGGCAATTAGCATGGGTATTGGCGCATTAGAGAAAATCCCTCCTAACTGTGACACTCAGAGGGCTACTGTGTAAGGCATAAATTCCCTGTCCACTCAGCTCAAAGAGAAGTCTCTCAGTCAATAGAACCCAACTGTCTACACAGAGCTCCTGACCATTCAATTCACTCATTCTAAATATAACCAGACAACCAAGAGACATCAAACATTTCAATGAAGCCTGAAATACAAAAGAAAAGAACTGTGGAGAACCTTTTTGAAAAGTAAAATTCTTGTTCATATCTTTAGAGAAATTAGAGATTGCATCTATAACAGGATGCTATGGAAAAGGAGAATATGAAAATTAAAAAGAACTCCTGGAGATTAAAAACAGGATCACTAAGATACACAATAAAATAGAAGGGCTAAAAGGTAACAATAGATGAAGTCTGTCATAAAGGAGAACAAAATGACAAAGAAATGGAAAATGGGAGCGAAATGGCGAGACACATAAGATCAACTCGGAAAATTCAATATTTAATAGGGCTTTTAAAAAGAGAAAATGGAGGCAAAGAAATAATAAAAGGAGGTTTCCAGGGCTTATTAAGAAACTGTGTTTTCAAAAAAAAAAAAAAAAAAGAAACTGTGTTTTCAAATTGAAAAGATTTACCAGCTAATAAGCAGGATAAAGGAAAAGGGCTCACAGCTATAAACATTACTTTGAAAGTTAAGAACAGAGGAAAATCCCCTGCAAACAAACTAGATATTGAAAGATACAGAATTCATGTCTTTAGAATTCTTAGTATACAGTCTAAAATTCAATACTTAACTGAATAATTAATGAAATGTGAAAGAAGACAAAAAAAAAAATTTTTCACACAAGCAAGGACTCAGAACACTTGCCTCCCACACACATTTCAGTTAAGGATTTACTCCAGCAAAGTAAGGAAGGGGACAAACCAAGAAAAAAGAAAGAAAGAAAGACAGGATCCAGGGGACAGTCAACCAGAACCAGGAGCAGGGAAGGGAGGTCTCAGCATGACAGCTATGGAACTGACCATAGAGGTACAGATGGAGGCAGGAAGAAGGAGGGCTCTGGGCGGGAAGCCACTGGGGAAAGGGAAAATACCATTGACTAGATAGAATTTGAGAAGGGGAAGTGCCTGAATACATTATAAAATCGCAAGTGCAAAAAAAAAAAAAAAAAAAAAGATACGCAACACTCAGAGAAAAGCAAAAAGTTATACAAAAATTTTGGGTATCAATATAAAAGGAATTAACCAATAAGAACAGCACCTTGGGCAGGCATGGTAGCTCACTCCTGTAATCTCAGCACTTTGGGAGGACAAGGCGGACAGATCACTTTAGGCCAGGAGTTTGAGACCAGCCCGGCCAACATGGTGAAACCTTGACTCTACTAAAAGTACAAAAATTAGCTGAGCGTGGTGGTGCACTCCTGTAATCCCAGCTACTCTGGAGGCTGAGATTGCAGTGAGCTGAGATCATGCCACTACACTCCAGCCTGGGTGACAGAGAGAGACCATGTCTCAAAAAGAAAAAAAAAAAAAAAAGCACTTTAATGGATTCTGAAACAAAAAATAAATTTCAAGCAAATATAGAATAATCAGGAATTTTAAAAATTATAATGATCTAATACTAAAGATAAATGTTTCTTTTCTCAATTGGAAAAGGCAATCAGAAAATCCAGGATAAACAAAAAACTTCTTAACAAAGACATGGTCCAAAATACAGCATTTTGAACAATTAGTGAGAGTCAGAAATAACAATCTAGTTAAGGAAACATAATCATATCACACAGCTTGACTCTATAATGAGTGCTTGACTCTATAATGAGTATAGTTAAATGTTCATACAATGAAAATATTTCCTTTTAGAATCAGTTGACTATGTAAGTGTAAAGGATCAAATTATATTACAAGATAGAAAATAAGGCCAGGCGCAGTGGCTCATTCCTGTAATCCTAGCAATTTAGGAGGCCAAGGCGGGCGGATCACCTGAGGTCAGGAGTTTGAGACCAGCTGGCCAACATGGCAAAACCCTGTCTCTACAAAAAAT
Source organism: Homo sapiens (assembly GCF_000001405.40). Lineage (NCBI taxonomy): Eukaryota > Metazoa > Chordata > Mammalia > Primates > Hominidae > Homo > Homo sapiens. The sequence goes on along the minus strand of NC_000006.12, from coordinate 18,481,086 downwards.
ACAAAAATTAGCTAGGCATGGTGGCAGGCACCTGCAATCCCAGCTACTTGGGAGTCTGAGGCAGGAGAATAGCTTGCACCTGGGAGGCAGAGGTCGAAATGAGCTGAGATCATGCCACTGCACTCCAGCCTGGGCAAGAGAGGGAGATTCCATCTCAAAAAAATAAAAAATAAATAAATACAATCTACTTTGATATGTATTGATAGTAATAAAAACAACAAACCCTCAATGAGCATTTACTATGTGCCAGACATCGAACTTAGAAACAACCCCTATTCCCAATTTACAGATAGAAAAAGAATAAAGCAGTAAGGTTACATAACTTGTCCAAGGTCACACAGACAGTAATGAGTGAGTGGGTCAAAAATAAGAATGGTCTGGCTCTTGAGGCAGAGTTCTCAGTTACTATACTATATACCCTACTCACTTCTATTTTTCAAGGCTTTTTTTTTCAAAGCAGCTTTAGGTTCGCAGAAAAATTGAAAGGAAGGTATATTAGTTTGTTCCCATGCTGCTAGTAAAGACACATCCAGAACTGGGTAACTTATAAAGGAAAGAAGTTTAATTGATTCACAGTTCCGCAGGCTGGGGAGGCCTCAAAATCATGGCAGAAAGTAAAGGGGAAGCAAGACATGTCTTACATGGCAGCAGGCAAGAGACAGCTTGGGCAGGGGAACTCCCATTTATAAAACCATCAGATCTCACGAGACTTATTCACTACCAGGAGAACAGTACAGGGGAAATGCTCCCATGATTTAATTATCTCACCTGGCCCTGCCCTTGACACATGGGGTTTATTACAATTCAAGGTGAGATTTGGGTGGGGACACACCCAAAACATATCAGAAGGTATAGAGATTTTCTATATACTCCCTGCTCTCAAGCATGCATAGTCTGGCCCATTATCAACACTCCCATCAGAGTTGTATATTTGTTACAAATGATGCACCTACATTGACACATGATGACTACCCAATGTCTATAGTTGGCATTACTGTTCACTCTTGTTGTACCTTCTATAAGTTTGGACAATAGGTAGATACAATAATATGTTTTGAGATACATATTATTGTATCTACCATTATAGTATCATACAAAGTATTTTCATTGCCCTGTTCATAATAATAAACATAACATTAACAGCAAATACTTAATGAGCATTTTAATATGTACTAGATACTGATACTTCCTCTTCTGTTTTTAGTTTAAAAAATTTTTTTTAAGTACGATTGATAAACTTTACAAATTAAAATGGGGAGAGAATGGAAAGAGAGGTAGAGAAAAGGACAGAGATGGGCATAGCTTTATTTTATAAAGTACGGAGTCAAGAGGTGCTATCTACAGTTGATGGAAAGAGGAATGGAGGTCTTAATTCCTAAGACTGGAAATATGGCCAAGAAAGGAATGAAAAGTAATGATGTAACAACATTGGGAGGAGCCAGGAGGGTAGGAGAGAGTGTATAAGTGAGTTAAATCCTCATAACTCATGGCAAGAAATCAATTGATACGGTGGTTATGTCAAATTTGAATTTCCCAAGCAAGAATTTGTGGTGTATACATACCATTTAGATAGGCAGAGACACCACCAAATAAACTCAAAACCAAAATCATTAAAAGGGGTTTCTGGGGTCTACTAAAAATAGAAAGAAGAGGTCAGAGGCTCTTGTTTTATTTTATCCTATCATTTCTTAAATTTGTATTAATAAAATATCCTAATATGTTAAAATGTGAGTGTTATTTTGATTGAAATTAAATAATTTTAAGACACATAAGCAAGAAACACTAGAACTACAATGAAATCGATAAAAGTGAGAGTATATGGAGAGACCAACATCTTCTTTCCATGTAGATAAAGTAAGCTAATAGTAAACAAAGACAACATGGAATTGTATAATAGAATTAATAAGCAAGATTCAATGTTTATATGTCAAACTTTGTGCCCTTCACAGAAAATACTTATGGAATATTTTCTAATTTTTTCCACAAATAAATTCTCAGTGAATTTCCAGAAGTAGAGATTGTACAGGCAACAAGACTCCAATGCAAAAATGAATGAGATTAGAAATTTGTCATTTTTTTTATGGAAAAACAAAATATGCTTGAAAACCAAAGCCTACATAACCAAAACAATCGTTAAATGAAAGTAGAAATCAACATAATGATTACTTATTTTGCAGAAAAAACCAATAATAACATTATTTATTCAAGGCTATCAAATTATACTGGAAGGAAAATTCAGTTTTAAAAAAACAAGGAAGAATGAAAATAAGTGATGCAGTCAACTCAGGAAGTTAAAAAAAGGCAATAAAAAAACACAAGAAAAGCAGGAAGAAAAATTAATAAAGATTAAGACCAAATTAATGAATTAGAAAGCAAATATCAAATTAATAAATCTAAGAGCTCATTATCTGAAAAGGCTAAGAAATAGACAAATATCTGGCAATGAAGAAACAACTGTGAGGAAACCAGATAAAAACACCATTCTGAGATTCAGAGTTTGTTTTTACTTATTAAAGACCTCTACACAACTCAATTCTTAAAATTTTCACCCTCTCAATACAACACGTAGTATTAACATAATGGATAGAGGAACATTTGCATATAGAAGTGATGCACATGTTTTAACACACATATATATATATATATATATATATATATATATATATATATATATATATATATATAACCCATGTATGTATTAACAGAATTGATAGAGGAACATTTCCAACATTTATGGAACAATTTGGGAAAACTGTTCAAGCATGTCTCCAAGTTTCACTTATCCTCCCTAAGCGTTAACTGATCAACACACAAGAAACCTAGGGATGCTGAGCTTTTCTTACACTTTTTGTTGCATTGAATGCCGTGCTTGTCTCTCATATGACAGGCAGCTTCTCCTTTCTTTCCCCTCCTAAAGTAATGGATATTGATTAACAGAAGGCCAATTTGACCAGAATACAGTGTTCCTCCTCTCTCTTCCCAGGTCTCTGGGTTCAATCACATTAAGCAGAGCTCTAACAGCTACTCTATCAGACTTACAGAGAGCAAAAAGTTTCCATGGGCATAGGGCAAAAGAATATTCTAATAAGGACAAGCTAATCATCAATTATAGCAGAATAATTAAGTTGTTTTGTGACAAGCTTTAGTTCTTCACATACAAAATGGAAGTATATAACATCAGATTGCATCAGTTTATCTTATGAGCAGACAGAGTGGCAGCAGAGGGGAAGACACACCTCATGCACTTTCAAAGAGAATTTCTTTCCAAGTAAATGAAAACAACATGGTCAATTAACTTCCTCAAAGCACTTTCAGAACTCAACTCCATTTCCCGTCTTTGTCAAGCTAGTTATGTACTTCAGTGCTCCTGGCTTTCCCCCAAAAAGGAGAAGGCATTTGGGTTGAAAGCATTTCTTAAATGAATTAATTCATCACTCTAAGAAACTCTCCTGTACCCCCTACTTTCATAAGAATTAACTAAAGTTATAAAACAAAGTAGAAATGCATCTCCCACTCAGTTTTTATGCATCCAATCTGGCTGCTCCTTCAGCATACCCTATGAGTAATTGTATTTATTCCCTGCTTTGTTCCAAAAATGATTTAAGGGTGAGTCCTATGAATAAGCCTCACATTAATGAAACCCTTTCTAAGCTGGCTCTGAGTAAAGACTGATAGCAATTTTATGGAGGTTTTAATATTCAATACAGTAACATGTTCGAGTACAAAACAACATTACAATGGAAAACTTTTTTAAAGCACTAGTTTGGTGGATGCTATAGTTACCAAAGTGTTATTGGGTTTGGTTTTGTTTTATGTAAGATCTTTCTCATTTGCTTTCCCCTGACATTCCCTGCAGACACCAACCTGGATCAGGCTCTCATTAAATGATACCTGGACTATTGTAGTACTGTCCTCAAACTGGCCACGCCACTTCCAGCTTCTCTCCTTGCAATTTAACCAACAGACTGTTGTCAGATTAACCTGCTAAAATGTAGCTTTGCACATACCTTTTTTTTTTTTTTTTTTTTGAGACAGGGTCTCACTCTGTTGCCCAGGCTGGAGTGCAGTGGCACCATCACGGCTCACTGCAGCCTTGACCTCCCAAGGCTCAGGTGGTCATCCCACCTTAACCTTCCAGGTAGCTGGGACCACAGGTGCATGCCACCACACCTGGCTAATTTTTGTAACTTTTGGTAGAGACAAGGTTTTGCCATGTGGCCCAGGCTGGTCTCGAACTCCTGGGCTCAAGTGATCCTCCCATGTCAGCCCCCCAAAGTGCTGGGTTTATGGGCATGAGTCACTGCACCTCACCCCACTCTTCAAGCACAGAACCCTGAAATGGCTCCTCACCCCAAAAAGAACCTGTCAACACGGGAGCCTGGCACTCAAGGTTCTCTGTTTCTGCACCCCACAGGTGCTTTATTTCTGTTTCATTCAGTTATTTCTCACTCCCCATGTCACACTGTTGTCATCATGCCTCCTCTCTGTAATGCCCTTGCTGATCACAATCCTGTCTCTCAACACCCTGATCAGCATCATCTCCATGAAATGTGAATTGAAAAGTTCCAACAATCTCACTCCTTCTCCACAGGTTCATGGCACCTGTCTACACCAATCACCTGGCATGTACCAGGCATGACCCAATGCAGTCATTCCTTTTTCTGTAGACCAACGTATTCTTTCTCCTAAACCTAACTAAGCCACTTGAAACAACTAATTGAGACACATTTGTTTGTACAAAGAAGGCATTCAATATATGTTTGGTGATTAAAATAACCTAGTAGACTTGCTCATGCTTCTCAAACAGGTGTATGTAACACCCCAGGGTATTGTGGGGTACTGGAGGATACAAGACAAAGATAAAGCATCTTTAAGAAGTTAATTTTGGCCAGGGACAGTGGTTCACACCTGTAATCCCAGCACTTTGGGGGGCCGAGGCGGGTGGATTACCTAAGGTCAGGAGCTCGAGACCAGCCTGACCAATATGGTGAAATCCTATCTCCACTAAAAAATACAAAAATTAGCCAGGTGTGGTGGTGTGCGCCTGTAGTCCCAGCTACTCGGGTGGCTAAGACAGGAGAATCACTTGAACTCAGGAGGTGGAGGTTGCAGTGAGCCGAGATCGTGCCACTGCACTCCAGCCTGGGTGACAGAGCAAGACTCTGTCTTCAAAAAAAAAAAAAAAGAAAAAAGAAGAAGTTAATCTTACTTCAATAATTTAAAATGTAATCTTTAAAATGAAATCAGGCCAGGTCTGGTGGCTCACACCTGTAATTCCAGGATTTTGGGAGGCTGAGGCAGGAGGATTGCCTGAGCTCGGGAGTTTAAGACCAATCTGGGCAACATGGTGAAACTCTGTCTTTACAAAAAAATTAAAAAATTAGCGGGGTGTGGTGGCATGCACCGTAGTCCCAGCTACTCAAGAGGCTGAGGTGGGAGGATCACTTGAACCCAGGAGGTCAAGGCTGCAGTGAGCCGAGATCATCACGCCACTGCACTCCAGACTGGCCGACAGAGCAAGACCTTGTCTCAAAAATAAAAATAAATAAAATCAGGCCAGTTGTGGTGGTTCACACCTGTAATCCCAGCACTTTGGGAGGCCGAGGTGGGAAGCTGCTTGAGCCCAGGAGTTTGAGGCTACAGTGAGTCCTGATCGTGCCCCTGTACTCCAGCCTGGGCAACAAAGCAAGACCCTGTCTCTACAAACAAAATTACTTAATTAAAATCAAAATAGTATGGAGGTTATAATTTTTAATGAATGTTTAAATGAACAATAAAATTAAAAAATAAAACCAGAGACCTCAAATAAGTGTCTAGCCCTCAGCAGTTAGCTTGGGACAATGCTTCCAGGTCATCTTCTGTTCCCTCCAGTAGTAAATTAACATTCTTACACCAGTTGAGGATATTTATTGTTTGAGAAATACCCTGCAGATTATGAATGGGGAGTGGGAGAAGAATACAACCACTTATTTTTATCATTTTCATTTTAAGGTGCAATCAACACACATTTTTGTTTTCCTTAAGGTAGGTAAAAGAAATTAAACCTGAAGATTTTTTTCAAGTTTTTTTTTTTTTTTTTTTTTTTTTTTTCTGAGACGAAGTCCCGCTCTGACACCCAGGCTGGAGTGCGGTGGTGCGATCTCGGCTCACTGCAAGCTCCGCCTCCCGGGTTCATGCCATTCTCCCACCTCAGCCTCCCAGGTAGCTGGGACTACAGGCGCCCACCACCACGCTCTGCTAACTTTTTTGTATTTTTAGTAGCGATGGGGTTTCACCGTGTTAGCTAGGATGGTCTCGATCTCCTGACCTAGTGATCCGCCCACCTCGGCCTCCCAAAGTGCTGGGATTACAGGCGTGAGCCACCATGCCCCACCACAAGTTCTTATTTTACTTCCTTGGCTATGACACACTTGTGATATCAGATGTAAATATGAGGACTGAGTTTTAGTATGACCACTCTTAAAACTTTTAAAGCATTCTTTGAATATTTAATTAACTTGTTTTTTTAATTAACTTATTTCTTTATTTACCGTTTTTCAAAGTTCACAAGTAGTTTTGTGTTCTACTTTTGAAAATCGAATTCATTAAAGACTGAATAAAAATTTTGTTAACAAAGTCGATGTGCCTATTTATCTTCTCATTCACACAAACATACATGCATATATACTATCCTATATGCTATCAATATATATACCTTAAATTTAACTCAATTTGCAGAAAATACAATGTATACTGAAAAAAATTAATAACAAGCCCCTTAGACTAACACACTCATAATAATCCATGGTGTGCTTCAAATAAGGAGAGTGAGGTCCTGATATTTTTTGTATAGGTACTAGAAGAAACATGTCCCTGGAAATTCCCCAAGCAACTTTGATTATAGGTCTTTTTAGCCACCAAGAGCTGTAGATAAACCATGAGGTTCAACCACTACTCTTTGAATTTGCTCATTTTAAGTAAATTGGCAATATATTTCATATGCTTCTGGCATTATCCATAACAGCATCTGGAAGCTGCTTCTGAGGATTACTTTGTCTAAGAAGGAGAATTTCCCTTGAGCTAACTAGTTTCATGCATATAGAGCTCACAGAGGGGGCTGGAGGTTTTTTCCATCTTAGTCAAAATGTTAGGTTTGTACTGAACCTAGAAAACAGTTACTTCCTAATTTTCTAGATGAGGCAACCGAAGCCAAGAGAAATTGTAACTTGTCCACAAGAGACTAGGAGAGCTATCAAACTTCCCTCCAGTCTTTCATTTCTAGTCAAAAGCATGGCTATGCTAGTTTAAAACATCTACAGCATCTGGCCGGGTCTGTATTGCTGCACTGGGGGTGGGAGAGGGGAAGAGGCAATGACCTTGACTTTTGTTGCACGTCCCTCAACAACAGGCAGTGACTGGTTAACTCAGATCCATCTGCTTTACTGGTCTGACTTGAATGGAAACACCATCCTGTACTTTAAGCCAGCTCTTAAAAGAGTTGTCCTTCCTGAATCCAAAACAAGATTCAATCCAATCCTGAATCTTCTGAAGGTTTGTTTAGAAAGCTCAGATCAGGTTTTCTTCTGAGTCCATTTAAGAAAATCTGTCCCACATATAGACCAAATGGACCTCCCAAGGACACTAGCCAGAAGCAGAATTGCTGATCTCCTTGGCTATACTAGACCCAATTCCAACGGTAAGTCAACAGTTCCCAGGTAGAAGTTAGATTTTGCTAACTCTTCCCCAAGTTTGTGATGTCTTCAAGCAGATTCTATTACCTGTGAAAACTCTTTGCCTTCATGGGGCTGGGAAACAGAACAGATTTTAAAAAGCTAAATTTCCTTTTGAAAATGACAAATATACATACTCTCGTAGCCATTAAAATGTAAAATGGAAGCCAGAGATGTGTCAGAAGAGGAAGCCAAAGAGGTCTGAAGTATGAGAAAGACTCAATGAGCTGTTGCAAGCTTGAAGATGGAGGGGGCCACGTGGAAGGTGTGAGAAGGAACTGAATTCTGACAACACCCAGAGAGCCTGGAATAGGACTCTGAGCCTCCCTCCAGAGGAGAACACAGCCCCATCCAACACTTTGATTTTTTTTTTTTTTTTTTGAGACAGAGTCTCACTTTGTGGCCAGGCTGGAGTGCAGTGGCACAATCTCAGCTCACTGCAACCTCCACCTCCTGGGTTCAAGCGATTCTCCTGCCTCAGCCTCTTGAGTAGTTGGACTGCAGGTGCCCACCACCACGCCCGGCTAATTTTTGTATTTTTAGTAGAGACAGGGTTTCACCATGTTGGCCAGTATGGTCTCAATCTCTTGACCTCGTGATCCGCTAACCTCGGCCTCCCAAAGTGCTGGGATTACAGGCATGAGCCCCCACACCTGGCCAACACCTTGATTTTTAGCCCAGTGAAACTTCGAGCAGAGAACCCAGCAACATCACGTCAGACCTCTGATCTACAGAAACTGAAGTAATAAATGTGTTGTTTTTAGATGCTTTTAAAAATTAAAATAATGCAAACAGGTCCCGAGTTAGTTCATGCAAGATGTGGGTTCAAGTTCTAGCTTTGCCACTCACCTGCTGTACGACCTGCACCATGTCTTCTAACCCCTGAGTCTCATCTCCCATCTGTACATTGGGGGTGGGGGGGTGTGAAGAGTAATATCTACTTTCTAGAGTAGTATGAAGAGCAAAAGGAAACTGCATACTATAAGGCATTATTTAAACACTAAGTTCTTACCATAAACCTTCCCCCCAAAATCAATGTGTTGATATAAATTCTGCATTTCTTTCCACATATTCCCCTCATTTTAATGAAGCATATACTTAGATTTAACTATTTTGTGAAATATTTGTTAAACAATGACATAGGATTTTTTTTTTAAACCTAAAAAGAAAATACATTTACGGAGGGGGTCATACTTCTCTCAACACAGACAAGCTTGAAATGTATTTCAGGACTACCCTCCTCCTGCCCCAAGTTTGCCCCCTCTTCTCCTCTCAGAACAATGCCTGGCTAAAAACTGATTGACTCGGCCAGGCGCAGTGGCTCATGCCTGTAATATTTCAGCATTTTGGGAGGCCGAGGCAGATGAATCACTTGGGGCCAGCAGTTCAAGACCAGCCTGGCCAACATGGTGAAACTCTGTCTCTACTAAAAATACAAAAATTAGCTGGGCGTGGTGGCACACGCCTGTAGTCCCAGCTACTCAGGATGACGATGCAGGAGAATTGCTTGAACCCAGGAGGCGGAGTTTGCAGTGAGCAGAGATAGCACCACTGCACTCCCGCCTGGGCAACAGAGCGAGACTGTCTCAAAACAAACAAACAAAAAACTGATCAACTACACTTAACAGCTGCAAGCACACCTAACTCAGTGGCTCGCTCTCCTCACACCTCCCTAACAACCAACACTTAGAAGCACTTTGACATTCGGGATTTTACTCGATCCACCTAAGCCTGACCTGAGATAGGGATGAAATGACGCTATACAATAAAGGGCTGGCCCCAGACCATACCACCAGTCAAGAGCACAGCCAGGCCTAGAACTGAAGCCATCTTATTGCCAGCTGGGCGTCTGCCTCCAACCCCACACCACCTGGATTGGCAGAGGGCCGGGAGGACAGAGGACGCTGCACACTTGTTCTGTGGCCAGGGTGGCACCACGTTTGCCAGCCCTCTCCCAGCACCCTGTTCACATGCCCTTGTGGTGCCAAAGTCCCAGGGCCAGGCTGGAATTCAGGACACACCACACAGGGTGGTATGTGGATTTCTGAACTTGTTTTAAAATGAATTGGCTTGTCTTCAAAACATAAGTCGAGGCTGATCAATAATCAGAAGTCCCATAACTTACCTCAAAAATACCTTCATGTTCATTTTATCTGAATGTGTTCAGTACTATTGATGTTAACCACCCCTCCACTCCCCACAAAAGGAAATATATCTTCTTGAATCATGTCAGGTCCTTAAGGAACTACAAGATAAAACGACCAACACTCAACTTAATTTCCTTCTCATCGAAAGCCCGAATTCCTGATTTAACAGCTAAAAAAAAGCAAAACTGAGGGCAAATATAGCACTGATAAAAATCGAAAATCATAAAGGCAGAAAATGGAATTGAAAGGACTTCTTTATGTATGAGAAATTAAGTTCATTACTTGGAGTCCCCTTTCTAGCTTTGGAAACTGCCAATTGATTTAATGGTAGGCTACAAATACACATTTGAGTACAAGTTGGCAGTGTTAATAAGAAAGGAGTTAGATCTGAGTCAACAGTCCCTTTGAATCTTGATTGTAAATATCAAAAGGAACTTGTGAGAATGTACTTTGTAGGGGAGAGGCAAGCACTTGGGCATTTGGGGTAAGTATATAGATTCAGCTATAATTCTGCTTCCAATACTAGCAAGTCAGATGCAGACCGCCTTGTTATTTTTCTAGTTACCTTCCATCAACTGTCCTTCTCTAGCCAAACTTCAAGGAGTGAGGTGAGGGGATCTCAGGGGTACCCACCAAAACACAGCCTCTAAGTGATGATTTGAAATATGTTCTTACATACATCTCCACTGATGCAGATAAATGAGAGGGTACTATGTTCTCTTAGGACTCACAGATTTGGGAGTGAAAGACTCGAAATTACTAATGAAAGAGCATTATAGAACTTTCAAGTCGTAGTGCATTCTTTTCCTGGCTGTCACTCATCAGTATGAACCTAAGCAAGACATGAATACAAAACATTGCTTTCTTCATAAAATGGATCTAATCTGCTCCATTTATCTCAAAGGATTGTTCTCAAAAGTTCTTTAGTTTACGTAAAAATATACAAATAAAACATTATAATTGCTATTAACGCATTTAAGCAGATTCGTTTCCTTTTTCTCATAGTGTTGGGCATTATCTTTAGGGTCTAAAGAAAACTAGATTTATTATCTAACAAATGAAAATAATTGAATTACAGAAAAACCTAATTATTATTCTCCTCCAAATCATCAGATTCATAACTTAAATTGCAATGAGTTTGCTGGTTAGGGCACTGATTAAAATCACTGCTATATAAAATGGTTCATTCAATATTTCTTTGGGAATGCAAATTCAAGGTTAGCAAACAATAAGCACACTTTCAAAATGAAATAATGTTGACATTCTAGGAGATGATTAAGAAAATTAAGAAACCATAACCCAAAAGTATTTTTAAATGATCTTATTGATTTCCTCAAAACTGAATGATTAGAAAATGAAATTTGAATTGTACATCAGTTGTAAACCTTTGTATGCAGGTACCATTTTAGAAGCATCCAGCCTTCAATAAAAAGGTTTCAACACCAGTACAGGAGAGTGAGCTTTCGGTTTTATGGAAACACAAGCTCTAGTTGTTAAGTAATCTTTGGCACCCAACTTAAGACCTGCCTCGAATACTAATTCAAATGGAAATGACCTTAACACTCTTAAATCCTTTCTTAAAAAATCATAACAAGGAAACACATGCCTCTAGCAGACTTTTGGAAGGTTAGAACTGACCTTAGCGTTTAGTCCAACCTTTATTGTACAGAACAAATGGCTTTGACACTTGGCAGCATTTTTTATTAGAATGATCAAAGATCTGTATTATTGGTTATTGCTCTGGATAATGATGAGTTCCTATGCACTGGCAGTGTGGACTATCACACCTACAAAGAAGAAAGTGTGTAACAAAGGCATTACACTTGCCACCCCCCCACCCCCTTTTTTTTTTTTTTGAGACCGAGTTTCGCTCTTGCTGCCCAGGCTGGAGTGCAATGGCACAATCTTGGCTCACCGCAACCTCCACCTCCAGGTTCAAGCAATTCTCCTGCCTCAGCGTCCCAAGTAGCTGGGACTACAGGCATGTGCCATCATGTCCAGCTAATTTTTTTTTTTTGTATTTTTAGTAGAGACAGGGTTCTAATTTTTTGTGTTTTTAGTAGAGACGGGGTTTCACCATGTTGGCCAGGCTGGTCTCGAACTCCCGACTTCAGGTGATCCGCCCACCTTGGCCTCCCAAAGTGCTGGGATTATAGGCGTGAGCTACCACACCTGACCCCCTGACCCTATTTCTTTTAAGAAGTAAAGTAGCCAAGAGTTATTTCCATAGATGGTATTGCAAATTCTGGTACATTTTGTAAATTCAGAACCTAGGATTTAACAGTAACTTGGTTGGTTCTCAAAGGATAAAACTGAACATGCCTAGAATTGTGCAGCGCAACAAAGGTTAACACACTTGATTTCCTGCTTACATTTATTGTGGCTAGAGAGCCTAAACAGCTATTTTCTTCTCCAAAAATTGGAAAAATATAACACGATAGCAATTTTTTAAATACATAAAACTTCCTGGATCATGAATCAACATGAGACATAATAGCCTGTAGATATCAATTGTGATCGCTTTATAAAATGTCATTCATCTAATGCATTTCTGAAATTGCCCTTAAAGCTACACATACACACATGACTCTATATCACATAAAGGCATCCATTCATGAACAGAAAGAAAAGTCTTTTATTAGTACTGTGTAGGGAAGGCTAAAGAAATATACATTTAATTCAGAATAATTTTTAAGAAAAAACGTGGGGTTCCAAGAAATGGTGATTTACATTCAAATGAACATGTACATTTGCAAACCTGGATAAGTAGATATTTTCATGAAGCACGCTACAAGAAAATTCACACAGAATTATTTGTTTTTCAAAGGCCTCTTTCAAAGTACAGACTCCAAGTCCAAAGCAAATACCCATGGCATGAACAAATAGGATGCCTAAGATTCTAACATTTGCTTCGGCATGGCTTTCCTCCTCACTTCCCTACCTCACAACAAGAAAAAATTTCCTAGATGGGACAATGGCAAGATATTGTGCTAATACGTTTCATAGGATTTCTAGATGCTGGGCTATAACATCCAGGTTACAATTTGGTGACGGATTTTTTTATTTCTATTGCAAATGGACTACACTCCAAACACAAAAAGATTCTTGCCATAGCATCCAAACATCCCTATGTAGACCCACACTTCCTCTCAATACAGAAAGAGAATCACTCAGAAAGGACAAAGCTGGCAGACCAAGAAAGGAGGCAAGGGTAAACTCTGTCACTGGCCAATTATCTAAAACAAAAATAGCAGCCTCTGTTATCAAAGTTGTCAGTTAAAACTGTCAGCTGTCAGGCACAGTGACACACACCTGTAATCCCAACACTTTGGGAGCCCAAGGTGGGTGGATCGCTTGAGCCCAGGAGTTTGAGACAAGACTGGGCAACACAGAGAAACCCCATCTCTACAAAAAATACAAAACTTAGCCAGGTGTGGTGGTGTGTGCCTGTAGTCCCAGCTGCTCAGGAGGATAAGGTGAGAGGAACACTTGAGCCCAGGAGGTAGGGGTTGAAGTGAACCATGATCATGCCACTGCACTCCGGCCTGGGTGACAAAGGGAGACTCTGTCCAAAAAATAAAAATAAAAATAAGTCGCCAGCTCTCTCCTTTATAAACAGTCTTTAGACTGGTTTGTATCATGCCCCTTGATGTACCAGAGATATGTTTAACCAACCTAGTTTTGTTGATTCTGACAATCTCACACACATTTAAGAATTTACCATTTTTCAGGCACTTTTCAATGTTAAAAAAAATTAAATCCAATTATTGAAAATCAGTTTGACAAACAACCCCCACTCCATAGCCCTGGCAAAAAAAAAAAAAAAAAAACAAAAGCAGCTAATTCAGTGATACAAACTCTGTAAGGTGGCAAATTCCCTCAACTCGCCAAGGAAATAGCACATATTTATTTTCTCCCATCTTTACTCCAAATTTGGGACCTCTTCCTCTGATAACACAGTCTTTTAGGTTACTTGAAATCAGCCCCCATTTAAAGACTCTTTGCAGCACCAAGCTTAAAGAGTTTACTGACAGAGGACTTTGCCACTATTAACATTCTTGTTACAAAAATTCAGTTTCAGTTGAGTTCTCGTAATCCCCTGAGCAGTTATAAATGCCTTTTACCTATAATGAGGCAGTGGGCTACGTGTAAAACAAAGCAAATTAACTATTCAAATATATGTAAATCTATAATTATACTAACATGAACTACACTGATAGTGTTTTTTTCTGAAGTGTTTAGAGTTTCAAAAGAAAAAGACACAATATTGAGAAATTTCTAATAAATGATTAAAAATGATTTTGGTTGGTTGCCATTCCCAAGTTTTCCCAGAGTTCTCATCTATGTTCTACACAACATGTAAATTAAAATGTACATAACCAACAGATGTACTATACACACATCAGATATCAATATATACTTGTGAATTAAAGTTCCTGAAATATACACATCCCCACTTAGGATATATCCTATTACATAGGCAAAGCATCATCCTTTAACAATAGGTCCGAGATAGCAGCAATTTGATATTCTATTACCCAGTTACCTCAGAAAATATCATAGATCCTGAATAGTTCCTGATATGGTATCCCTGGCTTCAAGAACTCTCCAGTAACATTTAGCATAGGTCTCATGAAGCACCAGGCTACATTGCCAATAGCAATTATATAATCCTGTCATTGGAGAAAAGGTTTTATCCTTTCAAAACCTCGTTATTCAAATCTGACTAATGGTATAATGGAAAAAATAAGTCACAATGAGGTGATACATAAATTTAAACTAAATTATATAAAGCATTTCTATTTTATTTCTTACATGTTTTTGTTGCGGTTTTATCAGTGCCTTGAAACAGAAAGTATTCAGACTGTCCTAACAGATGCTGAAAGAGCAATAATGATGCTGAGAAAAGAGCTATTCTGTGTTCGAAAACATGTAAATGACTCGGTTATCAATTAGCGTTTTTACAGAGATGGCAGGATATTGTACTAAGCACTGTTTTAAAAGAGTTATGAGTCTATACCCTTGGGTAAGTTATGAACTTACAACCAAAATTCACATATATAATATGCAAAAAATCTTTAGGCAGATTTACAATAAACCATTTCAGTCACAAAAGGATAGAATGGCTCTTAAGTAAACATTTATTTTGTGTGTACTATTGGGTATATCCATGCATGCTCAATGGATAGAAATTACAGGTAGGCTGCAAGTCACATGGATTCTAGATGTACATAATACGCACTTTAATATTTACCCTCCATGTGTACTCTTAGGCCTGATTCCAAATCTATTGGCTGTGTGAACACAGATCCTGAGAAAGGTCCCAGATATCTATGACGAAAGTTTTGAAACTCTACCACTCTACCCGTATTTTATATGAAACAATTCTGTAGACCACAGCCACTGGCTGTAAGAGACAAGTTGGCCAACTTAGAAAACTTACATTTGCCAAGGGAGAGACACTAAATTAGACCACATTGTTTAACAGGCTGCAACTCTTTTACTGGGAAGGGGCAACTCCCTCTGCACAGCAGTTTCACCTGCTTGAAGCTGAGATCACACAAGGAGAAGCCTATTGTGTTTCTGCCAAATCACAGCGGGAACATGGGGACAGCACACCCAGTAGCCAGCAGAGGCACAACCACCATATCAACTGCTGAGATCAGCAGCCTGCTTTATAGCTCCTATGAGGATTTCTCCTTACGCAGTCTTATCCTTCTCCTCATCAGGTTTCCCCTGTGTTTCTCATGGCAGTCAAATCAACACAGAACAGACTCCAGCTTCTTGGTTATCTTGTATGTTGCCAACAATGACAACACATTTGTTATATCAAATGTTCCCGCAAGCTCCTTGAATTTGGCTGGAAGTTGAACAGTCCAGTGAGATCCTTTGGATGATAAAATGATATGTTCATTCATCTCAAGGAACCCCAAAGCTCCATAGAAACAGCTGGACCGTTGAGCCCAGTTCTTGTTACACAGGAACACTCACACCCAGGACTTGGCCTTTCCTGATGCTGAAGGCTGGCAGGCAAGTTCAAAGTCTGGACACGGAGGCACTTTCAAAGTTGGCAAGGAGAAGGAGGCAAGGTCACTAAATGGGGCTTTATCACTGTGCCATCTCATGTAACTCACATATCTGGGGCGTATGAACACAGAGATCTTTAGGTTGTGGATGGGTCGTGCTTTTTCTTCTTGCCCCGACAGGACTTGCAGACACAACAGATTATACATGGGGAGGCCAGGAGTAACAAGGGTGAAGTAACCAAGGCAATGATGCCCAAGCCTACGAGAATCCCCACCACCTGGAAATTTCAAAGAAAAGCATATTTCAGCAATTAAGTCTTTCAATATGTATACTTATTCCAACTATACTGTTATCTGCTGTGGGCCAAATGTTTGTGTCCCCCTGAAGCTCATATGTTGAAACCCTAAATCCCCGATGTGACGGTATTTGGAGACGAGGCCTTTAGAAGTTAGTTGGTTTATGAGGGCAGGGCCCTCATGATGGGATTGGTGCTCTTACAAGAACAGATGCCAGAGAGCTTGCTTTCTTTCTCTAGGCTCTATGCCATGTGAAGACACAGCAAAAAAATGGCCATCTTCAAACCAGGAAGAGAGCCCTTGCTAAGATATGACCATGCTGTCACCTGAACCTCAGACTTCTCAGCCTCCAGAACTATGAGAAGTAAATTTCTGTTCTTTAAGCCTCCCAGTCTATGGTCATTTGTTATAGCAGCCTGAACAAGACATCATCTCAGGCACACAGAACAGTTACATTTCTGGGACCTTTCAGCTAGTGCCCAGCAATGATCTGAATTGGAGAGAAGCCAGAGAGATACAAAGGACCAAATCAAGGATGGAAACCATCCAAATGCTAACTCAAGCTGTCGCAAGCTCAGTATAGTCATGAATTATTGGTATTGGTGCTCTCTCTCTACTTGAATTTCCTCAACTAGCTCAAAGGGATGTTAATGATTACTAGGATATTAGCACTGACTCCCTCCAAAGGAATACCGCCTTTAATAAATATAAAACACTATTAAAAATTAAAAATAAACCATGACTCCTTTTGAACCTGCCACATAAACACACAATGGCATGTACACAGGGATCTAAGCCCTAGAAGGGGCTCACAGGGTTTTAGAGCACTGCCTGATATGGTTTGGCTGTGTCCCCACCCAAATCTCATCTTGAATTGTAATAATCCCCACGTGTCAAGGACAGGGCCAGGTGGAGATAATTGAATCATGGGGGTGGTTTCCCCCATACCGTTCTTGTGGTAGTAAATAAGTTTCATGAGATCTGATGGTTTTATAAATGGGAGTTCCCCTGCACAAGCTCTCTTGCCTGCCACCATTTAAGACATGACTTTGCTCCTCCTTTGCCTTCTGCCATGATTGTGAGGCCTCCCCAGCCATGTGGAATTGTCAGTCCATTAAACCCCTTTCCTTAATAACTAACCTAGTCTCAGGTATGTCTTCATTAGCAGTGTGAGAACAGACTAATACACTGCCTTTGATAGGTAATATGCCTTAAAGGGCTTTAGGAAAGTCATTCCACTGTTTCTCAAGAGGAAAGAACATCTGCCTGCATTCTGCACGTCACTGTTGACTGCCTGGCAGCTCTGGTGCCCCTGTTTCTCCGCTTGTCCTTAAGGAGACTGTGCTCATGAATTAACTTTAGGTATTTACCCCATTACTTTTCCCTAGCCCTGCCCTAACACTCCCCAGAAGCTCCCAGGCTGGGATGGTACCTCCCAGGAGGGAATAATGAGGAAAGGCGAAGAGGTGGGCTCTTTAAGCCATCACGATTTTGGTTTATGTCACGCTCCCTATAAGGTCAGGGTACCTGTGTTCGGTTCCACATCACTGATGCTCTTGAGTGGCCAAGTTTATTCCTGCATGGCCCTTTGTCATAATGTCTGAGGAAAATGTCATTCTGAAAAATAAAAAGATTGATTTCAGTAAATATGCAGTTTTAAATTGAGAAATGAATACAGACCACATCAGATCACCAAATGGAAGGCAAAGTTTTTCTCTGGTGATATCAGTGACCCCCTCTAGGAATTCCAAGCCTGTAATCTTTATCTTGGTAGTTTTGTAAATCACCAAAGTGAAAGCAGATCATAATCAATACGAATCTCAATTAATTATTTTTAAAAAGAAAAAAAAAGAGTAGTAATGACCTGACTACTTATCTTAGCAAGGTAGCTCTGGCGGAGGTACAATGGAATGGGAAGACCAGGAGCAAGGCAGCTGAAAGGCTGGTGTGGCAAACCAGGAGAGAGAAAATGCCAGTGACTGAGGATGGATGGAGAAGAGGAAGTTACAGTCCTCAGATATTAAGAAAGTAACTGGAGAGAAACAAGGAGAAGCAATCACAGAGAAGGGAAAGTGATTGGGTTAAAAGAAGGCAGTCGCTTTATTGAGAGAAGTGACAACATAGAGATGGAGTTTGTTGGGAAGATAAGTTTGGACACGTTGAACTTGAGAGATGGTTGAGACATCCAAGCAGGGCTGTTCAAAAGGCAGTTCATCACAAAGATCTACACTGAAAAAAAAAAAAACTTGGACCTCAGCAGAGAAACTAGCTCAGGGTCCAAATTAAGTGTAGATAATCTATCTAATGGTCTGTTCATTAGACAAATGGAGAAAGGGGACTCAACTGGGCATCGGTGTACATGGGGTAGAAGAAACCATAGAAGAGACTGAGATTAACTAGGAAGAGGGGTAAACTGAGAAGCAAAGAGGCTGCTGAACACAGGCATTTAAGACTGGATCGAGGAAGAGGCTAAAAAGGGAACTGGGATATGACCAGAAAGGTAGAAGAGAAACCAACAGAGGTGGTATCACTGAAATGGAAGTGGTCAAGATGTTAAATGCAGCAGAGAATCTAGGTATGCTAAAAACAAGTACTATTGGATTCTGCCAATAAGAAATCACTCAAAATCTGGGAAAGAGGTACAGTCGGGGTGTGACTACGTGGCAATCCGAACACATTGCAGTATTTGGAAGGTAAGTAATGTCAGTAGCAAGAGGTGATTAGGCTTTTTTGAAGCTTGGCTTCTAAAGGAAAGATAAATAGAGGGGTAGTAAGGAAAAGAAGTAGGCTTTAAGAAAAATGTTTACTCGTGTTTAAATGTGACACAGCCGAATGCATGGATATGTTGAGAGAGTGGAGAGTGGAAATTGAAACCACAGGAGAGGAAAGAGATAACTGAACAGCTCAAGTCTCTAAGGCTATGGACAGGAATAGGATTCTAAAGCAGACAATTAAGCGTAACTCATCCTCTGAAACTACAGGGGTGAGAATCAAGGCAGGAACAAGCTCAACTCCAACAACACTCAAAATTCCTGTTTGGTGTCCGTCTCAGGCCTGGATTTTAGACAATCACCCCTCTCCTGGCCCCATGATCTCAAACTTTCCTATAAACAGAGATCCACACCACCATCTGATGTAGAACTCCACTTGCGTAGAGAAAAACATCATTACCAACAATCCAATGCCCCTGGCTAAAACTGAAAATGAGATCTTAGAAAACAGTCACCAGAAAAAAAGATGCTTCAATATTTGAAGTCTGTGTATTCAGCCATTTAACATCTGCACCATTTCATCTCCAGAACCAGAGCAGCACAAGAGACAGAACAGCATGTCCTTTGCAACACCATCCCCCAAACACATTTCAACCAAAGGATGGAGATCTGGTGCACATATTTGTTCCCTTACACTCTGGCCTCCTAAAGAGAACCTCATGGGCTCAGCCTCCTTGTGGATATGAACCCAATTAATATTCTGGTGAAACCTGAAGGAAAACAAAAAAAAATTGTTTTTCATTTGTAATGCATGTGTAATGTACAATCAGTAAAATCCTCATCCAGAATATCACTCACTTAGATGCATGCTAGGTCTTAAATATCAAACATAATTGTAACTCAAGGGCCTATGATAAATCAATTTTTAAATAGAAGATATTTCTTCCAAACTGAGCTGCTGAACTTCTAGAGTCTAAAATGTCCATTTTCTTCTCCTCAGTTTATACCTCTTCTTAAATCACTAAGATGGAGGTTATTATTCTTATTCATACATGTCATCTTAAACAACATATCTAGTTTTCCATTAAACATCAAGCAGGTGGTGGCCTGCTTGATGACATTACATGCTAACTGCACACTCACTCACTAAGCATGTCTGAACTAAAGCACTACACAAATCGCTTGTTGAATTAAAGCAAATCAAGCAATCAAAACAAAGAGCTGAGAAAAGAATAGCAACTCAATGGTAACTGAGGGCTTACGCTGATATGGACATATTTTAGAGGTCCAAATTGCCAAAACAGAGTGTTATCTATAAACAACTTATGTTACCCCAAACTTTAAAAGACCAGAAGTGAAGTAAGACCTTCTCACCAACTCTTTGCATCGCATTTTTAACTCTGAAGTTACCATTAGCCTTGGCACAGGGCTGAATAAAACTGCACCTCAATTTGAGACTTGATTCATGAATGGTGAGAAAAAATTAAGCCAAGCCCCTTGATCTGGGAAGGGAACACTGTCAAAACAGTAGCGATACTGCTGCATGCTCATGAACAAGAGAGAGAGAGAGCGAGTGAGAGCATGCAAGAGAGCATGAGGGAGAGAAGAGAGTTAGGAGACACCATTGATTTGAACCATTTTTCTTTAAATTCAAAACGAAGAAAAAATCTAATAGTGGTAGGCAGAATAACTACCTCCCAAAGATATCATGGCCTAATTCCCAGAATCTGTGAATGTGTTACCCTATATGACAAGAGGGATTCTGCAAGTGTGATTAAATTAAGAACCTTGAGATAAAGGAGATTATCCTACATTATCCTGATGGGCCCAATCTCATCACATTGGTCCTTCAGGCAGAGAACCTTTCCCAGCTGTGGTCAGAGGGAGCAACGACTAAGAAAGAAGGGAGTGAGAGATCTGATGTTGCTGGCTTTGAAGATGGAGGAAGAGGCCACAAGCCAAGGAAAGCGGACAGCCTCCAAGGCAAGAAAACAGATTCTCCCCTAAAGCCTCCAGAAAGAAATGCAGCCCGGCTGACACCTTGATTTTAATCCAGCAAGACCTATGTCAGACTTCCAAAGTGAAGAACTGTGGGATAATAAGTTTGTGGTATTTTAAGCCACTAAGTATGTGCTAATTCGTTACAACAGCAATATAAAATGAAGACACTAATAGTCCTTTACATAATAGAGACAATGTGCAAATAGCAAGAAATGCCCTGAAAACAAAAGCTTGCCTTTAACACCAGGGTGGCATATGTAAGGTCATCAAAAAGATGTTTTTAGATATCTAAAGTATCAGGCTTAGTAAGTCTCATTAAGAAAAATAAATTCCTTTTGCAGGACAAAAATTGCCCCAATATTTTAAAGGAAAATCTGTAGGATATCAGCTGTGGTGCAGATACAGTATAGGAAACACCATACAACAAACCTAGGTGGAACTTACATCCAAGTTCTGGAGGCAGTACCAGCAAAATGTATGCTTGCAGTTTTTGCACATCATCTGAGCGCAGCCTTCATTGCGTTCGATATAAACCCGGCAAACTGGGCACTGCTTAATGGGGGCTTCTGCATCTGTCCCAAAGAGGGCTCTAGAAACAAAATGGATGAGAAATGGCATTCAGCTGATGGTCATCAGTTGAATTCCCAGGGCTCCTGATGGTTAGATAATGAACTCACAGTTATCCATGCTTAATTCACTTCCAAAAGAAAGGGTGTGGGCAAAAACATTATTAGATGTACAGATAACTCATACAAGAAGGAATCTTTATTTATTTTGGCTTTCAGTGAATTATATAATTACAGTTTCCACCACTGATTTAACTCACTATTTTGTCAAATTAATATTTCATTCCCTAAGCATGCATTGCCTAAATAAGAATGGCAAGGAGTTGGCTACACAGCAGAGAAACTAGGTCAGGGTCCAAACTGGGCGTATATAATCTATCTAATGGTCTGTTCATTAGACAAATGGAGAAGGGGTTCTCAAATATAAACACTTTAAAATAATGTCAAATACTTTCAAAAGACCTTCTCCAAACAGACGAATAGACCAATACAGGCTCACAGCCCCAAGGGGCACAGAAAATAAGCAACAGGAATTGGAGTGAGCGATAGCACCATGTAACACTTTAGCTACTGCCCATCAAAACCACCACCCAGCACACAGAGATATCCAACTCACAGAGTGTTGTCAAATCTATTATCAGACTTCGTATGAACAATAACCTCATATTGTCATAAGACAGTTATTACAGGTTGAGCATCCCTAGTCCACAATTTGAAATCCAAAATGCTCCAAAATCTGAAACTTTTTGAGTGCCAACATGACAAAGGAAATGCTCATTGAAGCCTTTCTGACTCCTGGTATTCAGAGTAAGGATGCTTAACCAATAAACATATCATGAAAATATTTCAAAATCTGAAAACACTGAGATCTGAAACACTTCTTATCCCAAGTATTTTGGATAAGGGATGCTCAACTTGTATCTTAATTCCCTTATTTTCAGATAGGGAAACAGACTCACAGAGGCTGAGTGGCTTCTATGAGACACACAGATACCGAGTGACAATGTCAGAATGCAAATCCTCCTATCCTCTGAGTTCTTTACGTTGCCCTGTGATACCCACGGAGCTTCCTGCTATGGCCACGAAAATGTAGGCAACAGTGGTTTGAATCCGGCTAAGAGGGCACATGCCTGCCATGTGTATTAGCTTCTCTATTCCTCTCCATTTGTTTGTTCTGAGATTCAAGCACAGCATCGTAGCCAAGTAGCATTACTATTCATGAAGCCTGGTTCTACACATTCTGGGTGCACTGTGTGATTAAGCCAATGGGATTACAACACTCGTATTTTGTTCTTGCTGATGCAGAACAACGATAGCCTCAAGCAAAGCAGGAATGAAACACAGAGGTCTCTCACTCTGGGCACTGCTGTTGCCATAAAAACCCTCTGTATCGCCCAAGTGTGGTGGCTTATGTCTGTAATCCTAGCACTTTGGGAGGCCTAGGCGGGTGGATCACTTGAGGTCAGGATTTCAAGACCAGCCTGGCCAATATGGTGAAACCCCATCTCTACTAAAAATAGAAAAATTAGCCAGGCGTGGTGGCAAGTGCCTGCAATCCCAGCTAATCGGGAGGCTGAGGCAGGAGAATCGCTTGAACCCAGGAGGCAGTGGTTGCAGTGAGCCGAGATCGTGCCACTGAACTCCAGTCTAGGCAACAGAGCAAGACTCTGTCTCAAAAACAAAACAAAACAAAAAAAAACCCGCTGTACTAAAAAGGTACAGATTTAATTGCTTCCTATCACGATAAAATCTCAACCTTTACAGAGCATAAAATATCATGAGAGAACCCTCCTTTCTACGTGCTGAAAGAATTTAGGACCGTTGTTTCTATTGTTGTGTTCTTTCTAATATGACTGTCACACATCATGAGCTGGCAATTTAGTCAGGTAAGAAAATTTCTTTTCTCATTTTGCAAGCAACAAGAATGATATATACCAATACAGGCAGATACTGTATCTGAGCAAAGAGCGGGAACAAGTCATGATTTCCTACTGAGAACCAGTAGACCACGGTGCCTCACTACCTAAAGAGAAAGCAAAACTCATACAAACTTTAATTCCAGCAATATCTGGAAGATTCCTCTGGGGCAAACAACTAGAAATGCTTTTTTGTTGGCAACTTACCAATTCTGAGACACTTCTCAGGGAAGTTCTGCAGGAAAATAACCAATCTCTAAACGCCATCACAACGTAACTCCTTCTACACGTAAGGTATGTTGAATTTCTAAGAAAACTAGTGAATAATCCCAAAGACAAAGTTTCCTTTCTTACCGGTGCTCTGTTGGCAGGACAATAGGCTGACTGTCTCTACAGGAGACCTCTGCATGCCAAGCATCCTTGCAACACGAGCAGAATTTCAGGTGGCAAGAAGGGCATTCCACCAGCACAGGCTGTCCTGGGTCACTCGAGGCAACAGGGCACACTGTCTGACAGTCTGCAACAGGACACCATGTTCGGTAGGGGTCCAGATGAACTTCTAAAGTGTAAAGAAAGAAAATGTGATGGTCTGCCCGATTCATGTTTGAGTCTTTCTCACCTTCATTTGCCCTCTTATTTATTTAATTTATTTGGAACCAGAGTCTCACTCTGTCGCCCAGGCTGGAGTACAGTGGCATGATTTCAGCTCACTGCAACCTCCCCTCCTGGGTTCAACCGATTCTTCTGCCTCAGCCTCCCGAGTAGCTGGGACTACAGGTGCGCACCATCACGCCTGGCTCATTTTTGTATTTTTAGTAGAGACAGGTTTCACCTTGTTGGCCAGGCTGATCTCGAATTCCTGACCCCAGGTGATCTGCCTACCTTGGCCTCCCAAAGTGCTGGGATTTTACAGGCATGAGCCACCACACCTGCCCCATTTACCCTCTTTTTTAAACTGACATTTATGGAAGTATAATACAACAAGGGTGAGGATTTCTACTATTAGTCTTCATAATGGATCCAAACCTATCATTTACAAGGTCGCTAAGCCCTGCCACATTTCTCAAAGTAGGTACTAACAGAATAGCTTACCATTGCCTTTATGAACAGATAAAAAGTGTTCTCTGTAAACAAAATTCACAAGACTTTTAGAATATTTCCCACCTTTGAGCACGTAAAATAGGCAAAAATCTCAAATCCCTTCTACAATTATTTGGGCACTATCTTGGAAGAGAATTGGACATAAAAAGCAAATTTTTAATAAGATATTTTTCCAAAAAGACTTTGTCCTTTCAGGCACTGAGAAACAGATAGTGAGGTTTCTTCCACATTCCCAGGAAATTAAAGAACAAGGAAGAAAATAATCAAATAGTTTAGGGATTAAACAGTATCTGGTGTGGCTTAGCCAAGAAGTTGGATTACCTGTCAGTTTGGATATTCTGCTCCCTACCAATGTGCAACTTAGGGACAATGTGTGAAAGACCCACATGTGGGCCGGGCACTGTGGCTCACGCCTGTAATCCCAGCACTTTGGGAGGCTGAGGTAGGCGGATCACAAGGTTAGGAGATCAAGACCATCCTGGCTAACAGGGTGAAACACCATCTCTACTAAAAATACAAAAAATTAGCCGGGCATGGTGGCGGGTGCCTGTAGTCCCAGCTACTTGGCAGGCTGAGGCAGGAGAATGGCGTGAACCCGGGAGGCAGAGGTTGCAGTGAGCTGAGATCGCACCACTGCACTCCAGCCTGGGCAACAGAGCAAGACTCCGTCTCAAAAAAAACAAAACAAAAAAAACAAAAACAAAAAACAAACAAAAAAAACCCCCACATGTTCTAGAAACAAAAGGCAGAGAGACTTTCACAGACCATTATAATAGCTAGTCATAACACATTGGCTAGTTCCATATGACATACAGGAAAGAAGATAGAGTTGGAGAACTGACAGCCATCTATTTAAGTGTTTGCAAATCTTGCTTGGTATCTCTTTTTTATTCAGTAGCAGACCCCATGTTCTTTCCATATACTATGACCTTTAAGGGAACATACCATGTAAAAAATGATGTTATTTGAGGGGTAGAGTACCCCTTTTTTCTCTGAACTCAGGTATTTTGCAAAATTTGAATTGACAACATTCTAGTTTTAAACGTCCTAGGGCTCATGATTCCTAGAAATGTACACACAGGAGGCAAACAAATCCAAAGGATGGTGCAAAAAGAAAATAAAGGTATTAAGTAGGAATTTAGTTTTTACAGTTAATAATTTTACACATTCAATATCAAGGAGAAAGTCTGAAATGTTCCAATAAAATACTGTCTCCACTAATGTCTCGCCTAGAAATGAAATAATTGGATCTATCTTGTTATAAGTTTTCATTCAAAAATTGCATCCTTAAATATATGGTCTTATCTAGGAATTCTGGAGGGTGGGGGTCAAAGAACAGTGAACCCTTCACACAAATGCAATCACAAGGAGGAAATTCTATAATTCACAGATGCTCAGACCCCAACAGAGATGGACCCTCCAAGATCACTAAAACCTTAAGAAGTCAAGGAAACAGTGGCACACATAGGATCCAAGGCCTTGGTCTTTTATTTCTACACCATTTAATATTTTCTTCCAATCTATTACAACCGCTTCACAAATACTAAGCCCAAAGAAATGAAGGTTAGTATGTAACTTAGAGTGAAAGACTCCCATATCAAATATCTACTTCGCTTCCCTTCTAAATCAGAGATCTTTTAAAAGTTTGATGAAAAAGAAGGAAAAATAAGGGAAAAGGAAACTTAAAACACATATTACTGTTAAAATTTATAGCATCCCTAGTGATCACCTTAAAAAGATACAAGGATGCAATTTGTTCTCATAGCTCTAATCAATTAAAACTACTTGGTAGAAGTTCCGACTTGTTTCTACCAGCTTATTATTTCAGGTATCTGGGGTGACAAAAGGGAAGCACAGACAAATAAATAAAGGAGAAATTATAGGTTTTGATGAATTACTATAAAGAAAGGACCTTAGTAAGCAGTGCAGCTATGGCGCAGTGCAGCTATGGCACAGTCCGTTGAAAGCAAGGAAAGAGTTTGAGCCAGAGAAAACACTGAACTTCCGTATTTTTCACTATTATGACAGCACATAAAGGTCCATGCAAAGGAGTGTAGAAAAAGAAAAAGGAGGAAAACTTTACAGCTTTCTACACATTTCCTTCATTAGAAGTCCTTATTCCTTAGGAATGGCTTACAGAGCTTAACTAAGAGCATTAGTGGAGTAACTAAGAGACAGATTTTGACTCTATCCAAAAAGGAAATTGACTACTCTAGCCAACTCTGTAGAGCGTCTATTCAACATCTCTCCCAACCCCCTTGAACCTTCCTTATGAAGACCTATCACTATAAAATCTGAATATTCTAGAGATATTCTTTCCCACAATTCCATGAAACTAAGTCTTGGACATGTGACATGATTCTAGCCAATGAGAGGCAAAGGCAGGTCCACTAAGGGGCTTCTGGGACTGGATCTCCACCTTGATACATAGGAAAGAAAGGCCTTTCTGTTTTTCTGCCTTTGAACCCAACTGTGTGAGGTTATGATGCTTGGATCATCAAAACAATCTTGCAGCTATGAGGGAAAGCTAAATGATTCAGAGATGCTATTAGGTTGGTAAAAAATAATTTGTGTTTTCATTAAAAACATGGCAAAAACAGCAATTTTACCAACCTAATAAATTAACCAAAACCCATGACAGCCTACCTCTGGACTTGTGAGTGAGGTACTGAAATGCCCTTGCTGTTAAAGTCACTTTTAGGCAGGCATTCTGTTCCTTGCAGCTGAAAGCATCTTAGCTGATGTGGCTATTTCTGGTAATAGCAAGCAAGTACCCAGTTCAAACAAGGACTGTTCCTCCTGTGTGGTAGATATTTTATCAACGAGATTAAAGCATCATGTCCAAGATGACTTTTAAAGTCTTTTCCAAACCAATGATTTTATCATTCTAAATGTGAGGCACATGGAAATGTGTATGTAAGTAGAAATTTAAAAATGCATCCACATACAGTATCCTGTAGAAAACATTGTGTACAATAAAAATTGATACACCTTTGTAAAAAGTTAACATGCTATGCCATGTCTATAAGGTTTCTATGTAGGTGAGCAAATAATATACATTCATACAGTTGAACGCCACATAGCTTTTTTAAAAAAAATAAATCAATATAACAATTTGGAAAGACCTCTAAGATATAATGTTAAGTGTAAGAAAAAAACAAACAAAAAAAAAGCAGGCTGGGTGCAGTAGCTCATGCCTGTAGTCCCAGCACTTTGGGAGGCTGAGGCGGGTGGATCACCTGAGGCAGGAGTTCGAGATCAGCCTGGCCAACATGGTGAAACCCCATCTCTACTAAAAATACAAAAATTAGCCAGATGTGGTGGTGGGCGCCTGTGATCCCAGCTACTAGGGAGGCTGAGGCAGGAGAATCATTTGAACCTGGGAGGCGGAGGTTGCAGTGAACCAAGATCGTGCCACTGTACTCCAGCCTGGGCAACAGAGTGCGACTCCATCTCAAAAAAAAAAAAAAAAAAAGCAGACAGAAAGAGTATAAATGAAACATTTTTATAAAAACATGTATATATAGGCCAGGCACAGTGGCTCACTCCTGTAATCCCAGCACTCTGAGGGGCCAAGGCTGGCCTATCACATTAGCCCAGGAATTCAAGACCAGCCTGGCCAACAGTGGTGAAATCTCATCTCCACAACAACAACAAAAAAGTAGCCAGCCATGGTGGTGCACACTTATAGTCCCAGCTACTTGAGAGGCTGAGGTGGGAGGATTGCTTGAGCCCAGGAGGCAGAAGGTACAGTGAGCTGAGATCATGCCACTGCACTCCAGCCTAGGTAACAGAGAGAAACACTGTCTCAAAATAAATAAAATAAAAATATGTATATATAGAAATATACTTTAACATTTGCAGAAGAATATTAAAAAAACATAACAGTTACTCTTGAGTAAAGGCAGGGGCTAGGAGAGGAGGCAAAGATTTACTTCATCTCTAAACTTGAAATTTTTTTTTAAAAAAGGTCAAGTACTACTTTTATAATTTTTTAAAATTGGTTTTAAAAAGCTACTTTGATCTGCATATGTACAAACAGATAAAGCAATTCTGGAACTAAGCTGTCCCCTAGAAAAATCATTTACTTTTTTATAATACTGAAACACATTCAAATTTCCCCTTTGTTTCATATTCTTCTCCATATACACAATTCTCATCCTATGCTTTTCCTCTCCCCTAAAAATTCCCTTTCTTCTTCAAGTCATAACCTATCCATTCTTAAGTGAACTACCTTCTATTGTGCACATGCCTTAATTTGGGGGAAGGAGCACAGAATCGGCATCTTGTTAATTGCTGCTGTCTATTCATTTCATGGAGATGGCCTCTCTGACGGTAGGCAAGGCTGTTTCTCATTCTGTTTGTGTGCTCCAACTTACCTGAAACAGTGAGGGGATGCCCACCTATTGATTCAGAGCAGTAATTTCTGGGTTTTTCAAAAGCATATAGATGTATTTCTATGCCAACAATTGACTTATAATGCACATACTAATAATACCATCTTGAATTGCCTTGTATTGGAATTTTCCAATTCACTTCTAGTACTCTCATCAACAGATGTGCACAGCATATTAAAATCATCCAATATCAGTCCTGGTGTTGAAAGTATGTTATGATTTCTATTAGACCATAGCTCTCCACCCACCTCAATTAGGGCTCTCAAATTTCGAAAGTCATCGATTTGGCAAGACTTGGAACTTTCCATATAGCACTTAAACATTAAACCTCCTTTATGAAGTATCACTTACAAGGGCAACAATGAAAAACAAATTTTAACATTAAAACAAATAACTATCCCTTTTAGAATTCTATTCTCTATACATAACTTTTATTTTACTTCCTATCTCAGCTTAGTTTTGGATGAGCAATTCACATTCACTGGTTCTCATTCCTATCCACTCAAATCCTTCTTAAGTATCTGAAATGAACTTTTGCTCTAAACACATTAATAAACTGCTCTGTAAAAATTACAAGTGACATCCCTCTATAGTCACATTCAGCAAATGTTTCCAAATCCATCTCTGACCCTGGACACTTCTCGTCACTCTGTCTTCTATGTGTCAGGCCCTGCCCTCTCTTTTCTTCTCATGGTCCCTTCTCCTTTATCATCAATACTGCTTTCTTTCTCCCATCCATGGATGGTATCCAGGTCTTACTTCTAGGTTTCTTTCATACTTATTTACGGAACTCATATCGTAAGTAAGCCTCGACTTCAATTAAATTTGGATTATTCCAAATAACTTCTCCAGATATGACCTCTTATGACAATAAGACTGAAAATTAGACACATGTCTATTATTCATTGTTTATTCAACAAATGACTGGTTTCAGGTACTTGTTAGAGACCCTGGGCACATGGAGATGAAAAATAGAGGCTTTCCTCCTCAGAAGCTTCACAGTATGAAAAGGAAATAGATGTTTAAAATGAATACAATGTCAAAAAAAGAAAAGGGAAACCAAGCAATGCAAATAAATGACAGTGCATCCCATGAGATAACAAAAATGAAATTATCAACAAATATTGATGAGGATCTCTTGGGGTAGAGGTAAGAAATATTTAATAGTTATATATGGAAAGTTTGTTATGATTTTTTTATCCAAATATCCAAATGTAGTTTCCCCTTTAATCAACTCTAAAAACAGGGGGGTAAAACTAGTCCCTCCTAATCATAAAACAAAGCAGGAAACACATGCTGAGACAAAACACAATGACATTAGATTACAAAGAGATAAAGCACCATATCAACAGATCTTTTTTAAAAAATCCCTGAGGTAGCAACTTTGCAGGCAGCATTTAGAAGCTGTAGAAGAGAGAACAGACTTTTTCTGGATATTAGAATTAAGATTCTGTCCTTAAAGAAAACACTGAACAAGGGCATTCACATCCCGAAGTGGGATCTTGCCAGCTCATGAGAACCAATTGTGTCTCTTTCCAACTCCAAGTTCAGTGACATTACCTTGGTAGCTTAAAATTAGCCATGGTGGAAGTATTAATATTTACACCTTAGAAACTCAGCTGGGTGTGGTGGCTCACAACTGTAATCCTAGCACTTTGGGAGGCCGAGGTGGGTGGATCACCTGAGGTCAGGAGTTCGAGACCAGCCTGGCCAACATAGTGAAAACACCTTCTCTACTAAAAAATACAAAATTAGCCAGGCCTGGTGGCACACACGTGTAATCCCAGCTACTCGGGAGGCTGAGGCAGGAGAATCACTTGAACCCGGGAGGCGGAGATCGCAGTAAGCTGAAATATTGCCACTGCACTCCAGCCTGGGTGACAGAGCAAGACTCCATCTAAAAAAAAAAAACTGGCAAGCACTACAAATCAGAGTTGTTCCCCTCATCCCGCCAAAGACTGTTTACCAACACCTCATTAAACACAGGCCATGAAAGTAATGAATTGGAAGTAAACATATCAATACATTAATATAAAACCTGCATCCAGCACAGACAAGTCTGGGAAAGTGCAGAATTTGCACAGCACAAAAAGAGGAGAAACCAAAACTGGAACAGTGACAGCTGACTTATCCCTTACAGTCAAACAGCTACACACAGATCATTTATAGAAATTCATAAATGGCATTTTTGGATAAGAAAAGGGAAATTGGTAACTCTGTCTGAAAGCACAAAGAATACTTATACAATTTGTTTTTCCATCTACTTTCTCTATTTTTGATTCACAGTAGGCACCTCTGAGCTCAAAGTACATTTATTGCTCTTTCAACTGGGTAACTACTAACTTAGAATTGCTAGAGATTATTGTACAACATTGTGACTATACTTAATATATTACATTCTTGAAAAATGCTAAGAAAGTAGATGTAAAATGTTTTCACCACAAAAACAATGACTACATAAGATAGATAACGCATATGTTAATTTTAGTTATATCCACAATGTATATATATATATATACTTCAAAACACGTTGTAGACAGTAAATACATACAATTTTATCTGTCAATTTTTAAAAATTCATTAAATAGATTAACACATAAGATAAGCTCTTTGTTTTTAGTAAATATACATGCAATACAAATGAATAGAGCTAAAAATATTAAGGGTAAAGCAAACTTCAACTGATCTTTAGATAAAGGGATTTTAATTCTTTACTTTTGTATATTTCTTAGATTTATCTCTTGTCTATGTATTATTGATTTTTGTGAAATAAAAATGTTAAAACCTTTATAATTTTTAAAGAAAAAAATTGCTAGAGATAAAGCCTTTGAGATGATTACGTTTGTGAGAACCAGATCACACTGAGCCAATTCTAAGCCTTGCTTTTGAGAGTTACTGACAGCTGCACATTTTTAAAAATTGCACTTAAACCTATAGGTTAGAACTATGAATAAGCAACCAATCTACAGATAGTTTTGATCTGAAAGATTTCCACATTTTATCCAAATAATACAGATGTAAATGAGATTCTCACATGTAATAAAGTAGGTGAATTTTACAAAAGCAGAAAAACCCAGAATGGAAGTAGTCTTTAGTTTTCACTGAACCCAGCTAGGGTTATCATAGGAGAAAGTGTGGTTCTACTCACTATAGAAACCATCTAACACAAGACTTCTTTCTTCCCTATAAAATAGAGATGTTCAAGATTGAATAGACACTGTAAACGAGACACTTAACACAGTGCCTGACATGAAGCAGGTTCTACACAAGAATTAGTGAAATTTCCCCCAATCCTCAACCTTAATGTGTGACTTTAAACTCTTTGAAAGGGACAAACAAATCTATATTCTTTATCATGATGCTTTTCAAACAATGGGGATTGAGGTATCAGTTTAATAGGTTGTGACCAGCATAAAAATGAAACAGATTAGAAAAGAAAGTAGGGTGCATCTCACATTAGTTTCATGAAACTTTTGCTGGTTCTATCTTGGGGGTGGGGTGTGTGTGTGTGTGTGTGTGTGTGTGTGCATGCTGGCTTTCAAAATAAAATGGATTTATTATTCTGGGTCACAGTTCTATACTTTGAAAAACAGTGACTTACACAAAGTTGGTGCTCTATAAATATCTGCTGGATGATTTATGAATGGATGCAACCTGGGAGGTATCTTGTAAACTTCACGTTCAATATTGCTAGGTTCGCTATACTTTCATATTACATAAAGCTCCTCCTTTTGCTTCAAATCTGCATTACCCCTTTTCTCTTCTCACTCTCAGCTGCTGACCCTCCTTCTTATTGCACCTAGGAAGCAAGCAACTAGAAGAGAACCCATGCAGACCAATCTACTAGGCTGCCTGCATCCATGTCCGTAACCTCTCCACCTTCTTTCCTGATAGAGATGACCTAAACCTACCCCCAAGTAAATCCAATCCCTCCATCTGGCACTGAAATCCGTTCCCCTCACACTCTCAAGGATTTGGCTTCTGCAATTACCTCCCCCCTCCCTCTCCTGTATCATCCCTTTCTGCTGGATCATAAGTTCCTTTCAAGAAAAAACAAAACAAAACAAAACAAAAAACACTCCTTGAAAGAGTTAATATATTCACTGCACCCATTTTTCTTCTCATAGTACCCTGAACCCTCTCCAAGCTGGCACTTCTCTGTCATTCCACTAAAACCCACTTGTCAAGATCACCAAAGACCTCTGTTATCAACTCTCAGACCATATCTCTCCTCATCTGTCAGTAGCTTCGGACCCAGTGGACACTCTCCTCCTTAAACACTGTCTTCACCCACCTTCTGGATTCATATTTCTGGCCATCCTTTGTCAATCTCCTTTGCCAGATCCACCTCTTCTAAAACCTATAGTGTCCCAGGGCTCAGTCCTGAAACTGCTTCTTTAGCTATGTTTAATTCTTAGATGCGCTCATTCAGTGTCACAGCTTTAAACCTGACCTCTATGCTGACGATTCCAAAGTTTATACTACTGATCCTGACTCATATAATCCAGATGTATCTCTACCAGGAAATCCTGACAGTTCCACCTTGAAAACAGACTCCAAATCTGGGCATTTTCAATGCTTCTGCTTTTAACATATAATCTACTGTACTGTTTTGGACTGGATCACTACCACAGCCTCCTAATAAATCTCCCTGCTGCCATGTCATTCCATTACCATCCACTCTTCTGCAGCAGCGACAGTAATCTTCTAAAATGGAAATCATTTCACGACATTCCCCTGATCCAAACCCTCCAATGGCTTCTCATCCCACTAAGACTTCATCTTCATAATCTATGGGATCAGGCCCTTGACTAACACTTTCAAATTACCTCCTATAACTCTCCCCTCTGCTCACTTAGCTCCATCATAAGGGCCTCCTTGCTGTTTCTCAAACAGAAACCAGGCTTGTTCTTGCCTCAGGGGCTTTGTAGGTACCTTTACCTCTGCCTGAAATGATGTTCTTCCCGTAAGTATCCATATGGCTTGCTCACATCAAATCAAGTCCTTTTTCAGATATAACCTCATCAAAGAGGTCTTCCACAAAAATCCTATCCAAAATAGCCTCCCCCATCTATCTCTTTCCCCTTACCCTTATTTATATAAAAGGATATACCCCCACCATCTAATATTATTTATTTATTATCTAACCTCCCACATACACACATGCACATACACAGGATCCTTTAGGGCAGGGATTTTGTCCTGATGATCACTGTATTCCCCATCAGCTGGGAAAGGATTTCTCAACAGCAGCACTATTGACATTTGGATTGGATAATTTACCGTCATGGAGATGTCCTGACATATTTGTTGAGCCAACAAACACACAACACACACACAGACACACACACACACACACACACACACACACACACCCTAAAATAGAACCAATAAAACTTTAATGAATGATGCATTAGATGTTGAGCAGCATCCCTGGCGTCTACCCACTAGCTGCCAGTAGCTTCCTACCCAAGTCGTGACGATCAAAAATGTCTTTGGACATCACCAAATATCCCTGGAAGATCCATTCACCCTTCTCTGACAATCACTGACCCAGCAAGATGCCTAGAATGTTGCATTTGTGTAACTAAATGGAGTGACATAACAGAAATATAAGACATAGCATCAGTACATCAATTTCCCATAGTAAAAAAGATAATGGTAGCATATGTAGCCAAGTTCTATTTTGTTCAGCCCTACATTCAGGTGTTTCCAGAGAACAGCAATAACAACCCAGAGAGATATTTGCAAAAGGGCACTTCTGTAAAAGTGCTTCCCCCGGAGAAACAGGGATCCAGACATAGAAATCTGGCCAGATTCCACTGAAAAGATATCTGAGCACAGCATGGCACCTACACTTCACAATGCCCTTCAGCTCAGCTCCTAGAAGAGCAGATACAAGGAAAAGCCAATGGAAGGTAAAAGAGCTGGGTTTTTTAAGGAAATGTATTATAATTCCAGTATCCCATTAAGAGAATAGTTTTGTCTTATATACCTCATGTAACAGATTATACACATGGCCTAGAGGCCAGGTTTAGTAGAAATAGAAAAAATGCAGAGAGTCATCAGACATCAGCAGCCCTGGCATCTAACAGGACTACACAGAACCCAAGCTAAAAGGAACAAACTGGTAGACACCAGCTGGAAGTCAGATTGCTATCACATGAAGAGCTGTTCTTCTCATTCTCTTCTCACACTAATGACCTATAAGGAATTTGAGACAAAGTGGAGTGCCCACAGGAGTCACAGGATATTTTTTTCAACACCTTTTATTATTTTTATTGTAAATTCAATTCTACCTCCTGGCTTTTGGCCTAGGAAACACAGTTATAATACAGATATACAAAATGCACAATTATCCAGAAGTTTAAGGTCCGGTTGCCCTCCCTTCAAATTTCTATTCCAATGTTGGAAGAAAGTGAACTGATGCCTAGTCAACTAATTACTTCTGCATCAGCAGTGATGAAAACATTATGTAGCTTTGAGATGGGAAAAAGTTCAGAAATCTAGTAAAAGAGAAACCAGGGCCCTGTAAGTCAGCCCCTAAATAATAGTGCCTTCAAAATTTTATATTACTATACATGATTTAGAAGTGGTTAACTCTGACATATTTACATCAGAGATAGACAAATTCAAAGACTTAAACTGCAATTTACTTACAAAAAGTAGAATTGATTACTGAAGCAAAGCCCCACAGCTATGTGATCTTGAGACTCTGCATGTTCATGTAAATTATGCGAGGCAAGAAATGCTATTTAAAACTATTTTCTACTTCTGTATTCTGACTATTACTGGGAAACAGAAACATTCTGGGAAATAAAACTGCCATGAGACCTAAAGACCACATCTGACCTTAATGATTGCCTTCAGATTTCAAAATCTCAATTTAAAACCCTTGGTTTTCCCAACTGGCACCATCAGCATTACATATGCTGAGTTTGCTTTTGATTCTGTTGTATATTCTCTGTCCTAGCAGGAGTGGTTTTTCTGCCATTCTCCACCATTGTGCCAAAAAAGACATCAAACGAACTTTTATTATTGTGGGAAACACCATGCACTTGAGTTAACTATCAGCTGTAATAAATAAAACTGTTTCAGTAGACTAATGAGAGATGGGAGGTGTTAAAAAAATCAAACTGAGCAGACAATAAAGTACTTAAGCATCACACAGTCTACAAAGAGGGAAAAAAACACTAAAAGAAACTACATAACTACATAGGGAGCTCTGATGGAATAAAACCTTTATGATCAGATACAAAAGCTGGGGTGGAAGCATTTCACCAAGGACAAATAAAAGAGCAAGGTGAAACTAGAGTAATATCATAAATGTGAAGACATGAAATGAAAGGAGGCTTGAGGAGAATGCTGAGAACAAAAGGGCTTTCAAAGAAAGATGGAACCACAGCTTGAAGAAGCATTGGAATGGCACCTGGCATAGGATAGACACGCAATACATAAATAAGCACATACTTAATACAGGAGTGAAGTCAGTAATATTAACAGACAGCAAAAGAAAGACAACTTCCTATTTCACTTTTTTTTAAATGAAGGAGAACAATATGACACAACCCTTCTGTAAGAGTTCTTAAACTGCTATATGGTAATATAAATAAATATTCAAGAACAGATACATCAACCTAGCAAGGAACGGAAGCAACTTGCAGTTACAGAAAGTCAAACAGGGTCACAAAAAAAGGAAAAGTGCGTAAGAACTCAAGATGGATCATCTTAACCCAATTTTCAAAAAAAAACTATTTTGAAAAAGTAGACTCTGGAAACAAGAGGCAAGAAAAATTCTTGCATTAATCATCGGGCATGTACTTTGAGAACCACTGGAAAGTAAAGCAGTGATCATTAATCCATGCCAAACTTAGCATTCCCTTTTCCTTGTTAATATTGGAAAGCTGATGCAGAAAGAGAAAGCCAGAAACATAGTGGCAGCCAGACAAAAAGTCACAGATGGGTGGAAAGCGGGTAGAATAACCAACCAATATCAGATAGTATTTCTTTGCTTCGTGTAAGCAGGAGGATGATTTTTGTGCAATCCTATTCAAAATATTTTCCGTCAGACTTAAAGACATAAAGGACAAGCTGAGCAAATACGTAACACAAAGCAGAGGACAATTCACACACTGAACAACAAGCTAAAGACTAAAAGAACTTGGCAGGCACTAAGAATTGGAAAAAACTAAGGATGATTTTTTATAACTAAGAAATAGTACTGCATCTACTCTGATTCTACGTTTTTCCAGAGCAGCAGCAATCTCTACAATTCTGTCTCACAGTCCAGCCAATGAGATTTTCTTTCAGTTGGTTAGTCATTTAACTCATTTACAGTATTAGTGGGTATTTAATGCACCCCAAAGTCCCCTTATAAATGGTTTCACATCAAATATATATTCACAACATAGTCTCAAAGTCACCTAGCTGATGAAGGTCTCGAGTTTGAGGTAGATAAGAAGTCTATTTTACATAATTTAGATAAAGTTTAGACAGAATTAGATAAAGTGTATCCCAATCATGTAAATTCCATTATGTAGCACTTCATTAACTTAAATTTACTCTTATTTGAAATGTCCATTTTCCAATAATAATTATAACGGATGGTAATGAAGAATTACACGATTACAAATTGCCTTCCAAAATCACCTAAGAGGCCGGGCACGGTAGCTCACACCTGTAATCCCAGAACTTTGGGAGGCCGAGGTGGGTGGATCACTTGAGGTTAGGACTTCGAGACCAGCCTGACCAACATGTCGAAACCCCATCTCTACTAAAATATGAAATTAGCCAAGTGTGGTGGCAGGCACCTGTAATCCCATCTACTCGGGAGGCTGAGGCAGGAGAATCGCTTGAACCCAGGAGGCGGAAGTTGCAGTGGGCAGAGTTCGTGCCACTGCAATCCAGCCTGGGCAACAGAATGAGACTCCATCTCAAAAAAAATAAACAAAACAAAAACAAAATCACTTAAGAGGAAATTGCCTCTGGGCCTGTTACGTTTTTCATAAAATGAGGAGGTTAAATCAAAAGGCCACTAAATTTAATACACTGCAATACTTTATGACAGTAAGATGTCTATTAAATTTATATTTAAATTATAGGGTTTTACAATTTGGCAGTTCCTCAAAAACTAAATGTAAAATTACCACATGATCCCGTAATCCCAATTCTAGTTACTTTACCCAAAAATACTGAAAGCAGAAACTCAGATTATACCCCAGTGTTCACAGCAGCATTACTTACAGTAGCCAAAAGGTGGAAACAACTGAAATGTCCATCAACAGATGAATAAACAAAATGACGTTAAAAACATACAATAGGTTATTCAGCCTTAAAAAATGAAATTCTTATACCTGCTACTACAGGAATGGAACTTTGAAAAACATATATTAAGTAAAATAAGACAAACACAAAAGGACAGATATTGTATGATTCCACTCATATGAAATATCTAGGCTAGGCAAATAAGAGAAAGTGGATTAGAGGTTACTAGGGGTTTCAGGGAGGAGGAATAAGGACTTATTGGTTAATGGCTACAGAATTTGGGATCATGAAAGAGCTTTAGAAGCAGTGGTGATGGCTGCACAACTGTATGAATGTAATTAATGTCACTGAATTGCACATCTAAAAATGGTTTAAATGGCAACTTTTATGTTAGGTATATGTTTAATAACAAAAAGAAAAGTATAGAATTTTAACATTTGTATAGATAAGGAAGGTTAGCCACAGTCTATGTGGTCCTAGGCAAGTCTCAATCTGTCCTGTTTTCAGTTTCTTCATCTATAAAATAAGAATAACAACATGAATTGTTAATGCATGGGATCCACAGTGGGGCATCTGCCCAGAACTCGTGAGAAAAAAATAAATTCCATGTATGAATAAAACTATTTCATCAATTTGTAACAGAGCAAAGTAGAAATATGCATCACCACCTAAAAAAGATAGACTGGCTCAGATGCCTGCCCAACTTAATTGTAGCTAGACTGAATATATTATCACGTCTAATGAAAGAATAAGCCAGTTACAAGCAGGTTTGAATACTACTGAAAAGTCAAAAAGCCAACCACTATCTGGGGAAAGAGTGGAAATCTTAGCCAATGATTTTCCACATCTACCTTGCCCCACATAACGATGGATGTTGCCAATTAACTTCAAGTGTTCTAATCCCACTGACAACAAGACAATCAATAATATCTACTTCAGTATGATGATATTTCCTGAAGAACGGTATGATTACCTCTTTGGGAAAAAAGTGTACAGGAGAAGAACATTGAGAATAATTTAATTTAAAACGTGCTACTTTTAAGTTATTTTTATTGCCAACTGTTAAAATTTTGAACACTGAGACACAGGAAGCACTCACAGGAAGTGCTTTACAAGTATTAATTCACATAATCCTCATCACAACCCTGTGGTACAGAGATACTTGTTATCCCCATTTCACAGATGAGGAAGTTGAGATGCAGAAATATTAAGGACCTTGCCATGGTCACACAGCTTACCAGTGGTGGAGCCTGCAATTGCACTCAGGGTCTTAGCTACGATTTTAAAATAAACCAAAACTTTATATTCATCAGTGAGAAACAACCCACAGAAAGTTGTAATTCCTGGTAATATTAGAATATTCTAATTACAAAAAAGACATTTGAGCTAACAGATATGTTACCTAAAATGTAAACAATTAGGAACAAGGCCTGTTGCTG
This sequence comes from Homo sapiens, assembly GCF_000001405.40. NCBI lineage: Eukaryota > Metazoa > Chordata > Mammalia > Primates > Hominidae > Homo > Homo sapiens. The sequence goes on along the minus strand of NC_000006.12, from coordinate 18,441,512 downwards.
ACATATGGGGCAGTGAAGTTAGCCAGGGAAGTAACAGGCAGTCATGGGAGAGGAGAAGTGCTGATGGAGGCATGAGAATACTGTAAATAGACTGAGCTCCAGTGACTGAGTAGGACTGACGTGGTTGATATGTCATATCTCACCATTTAAGCAGCAGCCTGAAAATCCAACCTAACTCTGTAGGCTTTCTCCAGGTAAAAGCACTCAAATCATGGTACTTGCTACCAGCCAGGCATCCACAGGGTGAATACTGGGAATGTCCATGTTCTAATTATAATTGATTTTTATAGTGGAGGATGTTGGGATAAAGTGGGAAAATGGCAGGGCAGATGGTTGATGCTCTTATCTTTAGCTATCATATCTGGTGTTATAATGCTCAATCTAATCGGCCCATGTGGATGGATTAGAGAGAGTCAATATTAACTACCCCCATCATTAACTTATCACAGAACAGAAGCATCAGATTATGTCATCATCCATTAAACCAAAAATCCTTCTGACTCCCTGGTTCTGATTCCATGTTCAACATTATAAACTATTTCCTACTTCACATCTGGATATAGAGCAAAAACGTACCCACCATTTGGAATTCAAATAACCTAATCCAAGATTTTTTTTTTTGGTATATTTAGCTTAATATATCAGCCTTATGAGTTAAGTAATCCACCCATGAGATAAATCTGGTTTTGGCTGCTGGATTTTTAAAAAAAAAAAAAACACCACAAAAACAAAGTCAGTGTTATTCTCCTATAAGACCAAGCCAGATCTAGATCTAAGGTTGCTATTAACCTATGTATCCCCAACAAGCATTCCTACTCTACCCCTCTTCATGCTCTGTACGTTTTTTTTCTTTTTTCCTGTAAGAATTATTTTTCAGGGTAGTTGTAAAAATTAAATGAGATAAAGATAATTGTACTGACCAAACTTATTGGCACATGACAAATAAATATTCATTTTCCCCCCACCCTCACCTCTAGACTTTATGAATACATATTTAAAAGTTAGCAATCAGAAAACTTTATGTTCAGGCTAGATTCAAGTTTAATATACTCAATGAGACTAGACCAGTCCAATAACTTCTGGGAGAAACAATTTTTTCCTACTTCTGAGATACTAAGAAATAGTCCATTTACCTCAAAAATAGATTAGGGTATGACAAGAGGGAAAGGTCTCCTAAAAAAGACCTGTCAAAAGCCAAATGAAGTAAAAATATAATTCTTATAGCTAAATAGAAAAGCTATATGTTACCCCAAGCCCAAAGTCAGAAAGAAAATCAGTCCAATACATTGTAAATTGCACAAGAATGATACATATCCATACTCTGTTATTACCATGATTACAAAAGTAGTATCAAAAAAACAGGTGTTATGTATTCTGAGGAGCAGTAAAAATGTTTGGGCTGGTAATGTTTCGAAGTGATCTTCAAGAATCGAAAATTAGTGGTAAAACCCATTTCGAGGGTCACTTTCTTTTGTATTATTGTGATTATAAAGCCATCTAAATTTTGCAAAACCTTTCTTACATGAGCCAAATTAAAAATACAAAACAAACAACATAAGGAAAGTTCTGTTTCCTGCTAGTCTGCATTTTTTTCTGGTGGTAGCTTAGAGGCTTGAAATTTTATGTTGCAATTACAGTATTCTCCTTTTAGAGTACCCTTGAGGCTTTGTTGACAGCCCATAGCTGCCTTTATCTTCCATGTGGGTTAGTGTAAAAATGACACATGTAAAACCACATTCATCATCAGGAAAAAAAGAAGAGTTCATACCTCTTTCAAATTTTAACCTCTGATAAAGTTGAAACTGGTCCACAGGTACCAAACAGGCAATCTGAAACCAGAGACATAAAAGGTTGAGACTTCAGTCATCATAGTGCCCTGAGTTACCAGCCTTTTGATTTCTCTTTCTGGCTTTGCTTATTATACTTTCTCTACACCAATTGTTTGCAAACCTCTTTTTCTCCACACTGTTCATGTAGTAAAACACATGCAACAATTTTCAAGTCATCCCCACTCCACCACCATAGCTGAGAATCACTGCTGAAGGGAGCAGTTACAAAACTCATTGATCACCTTCTACCTTCAGTCAGTGGCTACCAAGACCAGACAACAAAATTTTATTACAGGGACTTCTAAAATTATTCATATTCCTGTATTAAAGATGCTTCCTTTCTCTATATCTTCATTTAAGAATTTTTTGAAATTAAAGTTCTAGCTTTGGAATCCTGAAAAACTAAAGTCAGGTAGACAGCATCTCAGGAATTATGCAAATGTCATTTGTCACCTAGGAAAGAGTACCTTTTAAACAATATAAAAATCATGTCTTCTGACAAGAGTCACTTCCTAGAGCCCTCGGTTATGGGACATTGACATCTCAGACTCTGGTAGAAAAGAAATGCCTAAAATATTTCTTGCAACTAGACTCCTATTTCCATTTCAGATGGCAACATAAACCAAAGGTTTACTAGTAAACAACAACAATTCACACTTAACTGAATGACATTTCAAATTAGTTATTTTTAAAGGCAGATGCAGGAAAAGCTAACTGCTCTTAAACCAGCATTCTAAACATTTTAATTCCATTGATGTCAAATGTAAATATATTGACATAACTTAAAGATTTATATATGAGAAAATAAAGATTTTCTCATATATAAATCATATATAAATCAAATCAAATCACATTTGATATTAGCCTTCCAGACATCCAGTAAGTTCATACAGGACAGAGTTTTAGCCCTGACAACTCCAACTCTAAACTATCACCTTTTTTTGGCACAAAACACACCTACATTGACGTTCTTGCAACTAAGGAAAGGACATCTGCTTTGAGAAAACTGGAGTAAGAAAATGATGCAGCTAAAATTGTATTTAACAAATATTATACCTTTTATAATGCATTCAAAATCTAATCCTTTCCCTTATAAATAATCTCAAGTTGTTTATTTCGCAAATGAATCTAAATTAGCTAAAATGTATAAAGGACCACAAAACAAGTTTGGTCTTCCTCATTCCAAGTAAAGTGTGGTAAAACATAACTTTAATTATAAAAACATTTTTATCCAAATTTTCTTTCTCCAGTTGGGGAGAAAATGTTGCATTTTCATCTGGTACCTTAAAGCTCCTTAGCAATCTTTACAAAAAAAATTATGCGCAATATCATGTTATATGTATTTTACCATAGTTCTTTCAACAGTGTGGTTGGACTTTTATTACACTGAAAGTCAACTTTATTCATCTGTTATAATGCTACCCAGACATCTTTCCTGAAAGACAAAGATGTCTCAAATAAAATTCAGAGTTGGAGACAGAAGGTACAAGCAAATGAAGTGATAGGAGGCATTTAGGAACCAGAGTTCAGTTCCTGACTTTGTCGCTAATTCATCATGGGTGGAGGACAAACAAATGCTACGTCAGCTTCTGGACCAACATGACTTGGGGGGTGATACCATCTGGGCCCAAGAGACCTCAATAATATTCTATGAATCTTTTTTTAACCACCACCTTCTTTGATTCCAGAAGACAGTCTTGTACCCCACTCACCCTCATCTAAAATAGTTTGTGGACTGATGACCTCCTTTTAAATCCTTCAAAGTCAACCCCTAAAAATTCTGATTCTTTTTCAATGATGAGCAATTTATATAAATGTCAAATACAGTTTATGGAAGACAAGGCAAACGGAAGATGTTTTAGATACAGATGAAATGTTAATGTGAAAAATGACAGAAATTAATGCAGTAAAAAGTAAACAACTGTAGAGATGGATGTTTAATTTTAAATTAGAAAAATAAATTTCATTGGAGTACATACTACTGCCAACAGGGAAGTCATAGATTTCTAATTTTTTTGTCTTTTATGGTACTTTGGATTTCTCATTTAAGTCAAAGGTTTGTATGGAACGAAGACTTACTAAGGTAAATCAATTTTTTAATTGAAAGCTGTGATTACAAGAAGTTAATTACTTTGCTTCTCATTCTATTTGGTCCTTTTGGAATGAAGACACCCATAGAATGCACCATTCTCTTCCCTAGTTCCCCTCATTTAGACTTGCATCTTTTGTATTACTGTTTTTTTAAGAGATGAGGTCTCACTTTGTCAACCCAGGCTGGAGTGCAGTGGTACAATCATAGCTCAGGTAGCCTTAAACTCCCGGGCTCAAGCAATCCTCCCTCCTCAGCCTCTCAAGTAGCTGAGACTACAGGCATGCACCATCATAACTGGCTAATTTCTTAATTTTCTGTAAAGATGGGGTCTCGCTATGTTGCCCAGGCTGCTCTCAAACCCCCAGCTTCCAGTGATCTTCCTGTCTTGGCTTCCCAAAGTGCTGGGATTACAGACATGAGCCAGTTGCACCCAGTCACATTTTTTCTAAATATTTGTTGACAGCTTACCATGAGTAAAGCTTTGGTCTGGAAGCCTAGCATACAATGAGACAGGACATACAGAAGCTACACTCAAGAGGCTGAAATTACTTAGAAAGCAATAAACATAAGATTTACAAAAGATCTACCCCTTGATGTTGTCTGTTGGATTTTGCAGATTAGAACTAATTTTCTGAAATATTTCTATTATATTTTTGGCTTTAGATGAGAGCTGTACAAAAAAAAAACACAACAACAAATGATACAAAAGGTTAAATTCCTGGTTCCACTGTCATTTGGAGCTAAGTCACTATTGCTCAAGACCTCCATTTTTACAACTGTAAAATTGAAATATTAATACTTGTGTTAGGATGATTATTAGAAGACTAAATCAGGCTGCAGGTAAAAGGGCTACAATCAATTTTTTGAGGATATTCACAAGTACTGTAAAATTGACTGCTACACCTGACAATCCTAGAGAATAAAAGAGATTATGAAGAGGTATCTTGTGGTATGCATTTATCTTCTTTCTGCCAACCGAGAATTTCCAAATCATTCAAAATCACACCAGACCATTATATAAAAAGTTGCAAAACTTGTATAGAGAGTTACCAAATGCCATTCCCCCAACTTCCCCTAATAACACTTTCTAAATTTAGTTGCTAAATGCCATTCCAACTTCCCCTAATGATAATCATAGTATTGAAATAATGACATTTATATTTCGATACAATAGAATTAAAGCATCTTCGGGCCTTATTCAAATCTCACTAATTGTTCCACTAAGGTCTTTTTTTCAGTCTAAGATCCAATCCAGGTAACCAACTTGTACCTAGCTGTGGTATCTCCTTGACGTTCCAATCTGGGACAGTTCTTCAATTTATCTTTGCCTTTTGTGACTTTGATGAGTTTGAAGAGTCCAGGCCAGTTATTTGTACAGTGTTCCCCTAATTTGGATTTGTCTGATGCTTTCTCATGATTAGATTCAGGTTATGAATTTTTGGCAAGAATATCACAGACGTGTCCTTGGGGCCATCAGGAGCTACATGAGGACAACATGTCTCATTATTGATGATGTTAACTTTTTTTTTTTTTAGTGTGTGATTTGAGGTGGGTTTTATTATTATTATTATTATACTTTAAGTTTTAGGGTACATGTGCACAACGTGCAGGTTTGTTACATATGTATACATGTGCCATGTTGGTGTGCTGCATCCATTAACTCGTCATTTAGCATTAGGTATATCTCCTAATGCTATCCCTCCCCCCTCCCCCAACCCCACAACAGTCCCTGGTGTGTGATGTTCCCTTTCCTGGGTCCATGTGTTCTCATTGTTCAATTCCCACCTATGAGTGAGAACATGTGGTGTTTGGTTTTTTGTCCTTGCGATAGTTTGCTGAGAATGATGGTTTCCAGCTTCATCCATGTCCCTACAAAGGACATGAACTCATCATTTTTTATGGCTGCATAGTATGTTAACTTTTTAATGTGGTTAAGGTGGTATCTGCCAGCTTCTCTATCATTTGGAATTAACAATTACCTTGTAGGGAGATATTCTGAAACTACGCAAAATCCTGTTTCTAATCAAACTTTGCCCACTAATTTTTGTATCCACTGACAATTCTTGCCAAAAATAATTATTACTGTAATATTTGCTTAGTGATTTTTCTATTTCTATCATTCATTTTGTACTTGGTGATTAAAATTCCACTGTAAGAAAAAGCTGTCCCTTCTCTATTTATTCATTTTTTAAATTTCAGTCAGCATAGACTGCAGACATTTATTTTATTCAGTGGCTTCTAATTCATTACTAACCAAATCCATATTCGAGCAGTAAAAGCAAAGCTCCCTAGGTATATTCTCAGCTATCAAGAGACCACTACCCTGAGATCAACTACTTAATGGTCTTTAATTTAAAGTTAATTTTTGCTACTTCTTCTTTGAAAGCTGTGCTAATTTATTTATTGTTAAACAGAAATTTCTCTCTCCTATCCAAGCACAAAAGACAACTTTTGGTCCTCATGATCATTCTAGAAACTCTTTCCAAAGGTGGGGGAAAACACCCAAACTTTAATTCAAAGATAAAATAAATTCAGTTTCATGTTAATAGAATAAGAGCAATAATATCAGAATAATGACAACAAAAGCTACTAATTGTCCACAATCACTATTTTGTTTTGTTTCATTTCTGATAAAAATGAACCTTATGATCCTTATTAAATACTCAATTCTGGCCAGGCAAGGTGGCTTACGCCTGTAATCCTAGCACTTTGGGAGGCCGAGGCAGGTGGATCACGAGGTCAGGAGATTGAGACCATCCTGGCTAACAAGGTGAAACCCCATCTCTACTAAAAATACAAAAAATTAGCTGGGCGTGGTAGCAGGCGCCTGTAGTCCCAGCTACTCAGGAGGCTGAGGCAGCAGAATGGCATGAACCTGGGAGGCGGAGCTTGCAGTGAGCCGAGATCGCACCACTGCATTCCAGCCTGGGCGACAGAGCAAGACTCTGTCTAAAAAAACAAACAAACAAAACAAAAACACTCAGTTCCTACTCAGCTGAATGTCTTTGCTTTTCCATTTCATCCCTAGCAGAGCATATCCAGGGAAGCCAGACCACACCTACACACGGGAGTGCTGTAACTGTTACACACAACTGTGATTTAATCTCTCTAACGTCCACAACCAAGAAGAAATGAAAAGTGAGGCACACCTGTTAATCAGTATTAACCACGATCATAATATTTAAACAAGCATCACCATCTACACTAACACTGACCTTACCCCCTCTCAGAAAAAAACAAAGCAAAAAAGGGAGGCAGAAAGTGAAGCCTGCTCACCACAAAAGTATTTATGCCAAAAGTGGTGTGTGTTCCCATATGAAGTGTTAATAAATACAATGTATATTGCTTTTTAGTTAAGAAAAAAAGACTCAATTAAAAAAATGAAACAGAAATTGGGGATAGGCTTTAGAGAACTGCTACCCATCAGAGTCCGGAAAGCCCAAACAGAAGGAAAAAGCGCCCAGACTTTACTTAGGTTTGGTCCTTCAAATCATGCTTCTGCTACAGTTGCTTTAAAAATTAAACAGGCTGAACAAATAATAAAACATATCAGAACATCTGGAGATGGAATTGACCACTAGTAAGTGGATCATTACAACCTGTCAAGGTTTGGGCAATTTGGGGGATGCTATGACTTGCAAAATCCAGGGCAGGGGAAATAACACTCACTGTGCGGATCAATGTCTAATCACATTAACATAGGAACTAAAAATGTTTTCACAACGCAGAGAACGAGAGCTGCTCTTCCTAACAGAGGAGAAAAACAGCACATTCACCCATTCACCTGAGTGAAACTAACAAGCTGAAGTCTCTCACCTGAATACTAGATTAAAAATCCTGATTGGAAACCATATGTGGGCATCACTGTCTGAGAGGCAGAAGGCAAGAAATGGAATTCCAGGGCCACTGATCTTCGCAGTCCACTGTAGAGGGCAGCTTTCACTGGTCTTTGTTTCACATGTGCTATAGAAGTCTCTGTACATTATCTAACCAAGATCATCTTTCCATATATCATCCCGTCTTTTCTCCCTCCACTCAGTCATAAGTAAAAAGGGACATATCCATACACTCATGTGACACATTCAACTCACTGTGGCTTAGTTTTCTATGTGCCATTAGTTAAAGAATTTTCTTAGAAACCTTATTACCCACTTATACAGTTTTAAGTACATTTTAAAACAAAGTTTTAACTACTTTCTAAAATGTGATTCAGCCAGGAAACTCAAAAATATCTATTAACTCTGGCTTGGCGGATTCCTCTAACCCCACCATCTCAAAGGTTTACTTTTCTCCAGCCAACACGTATTGCAGCCAAAGGTTATTACAGACACACTCATCCCTTCCCATTCAGATCCTTACACCACAGTAACAGGAATATGGCCTCTTGCCTGGGCATTCTCACCCTTCCTTTGCCCTAGCTTCCCACCATGATAATGGGAAGGAAGAATGTTAAGAGATGGCAAGTGGAGGCAGAGGATTTGGGAAGAACACCTGGATTCCCTATCACTGTAGCCAACTTTCCCAAAGCCACCCAACTAAATATGCAATCTGAGTAAAAACTGTATTTATTTTGCAAACATAGCTTCAAATTCCCCAGTACTCGATCCCTCCTCCACCATACCTCCACCCCAGGTCTCCAGAATGCCCTGCCCTAACTCCCTTCTTACAGAAATTCTGAAGCCTCCATTCAGCTGCACCCACCCTTTCTCTGGTGCACACTGCGGCACTAGCAGTAAAAGGCAGGCTGGTCATTTCAGTGCTCCAGGGCTTAGAAAGAAGATTAGTGAGTGAGAAGCTCTTCCCTGCCCTCCACTGACACCTAGCAATTGGAAGAAGTTAAAACTCTCAGGCCATGTAATGGCAGGTACTATTCAAATAGGAATATGCACTCACCACTCAAAATTCGCACAGGCCAGACAAATGGTTCAAACTTTCCCAGGAAGTGATGGATGCTACTTCAATAACACTACATGGGAACTGCTTAAATTAGACATCACCTTTTTTAACAGGGCTACTAACTTCAAGCAAGGGCTTCGCCTGAAGTAATGCTATTGGAATAAACAATCTGTGTCCTGCCTCTCATAATTTCATGTTGGACATGATTACAAGATCAAGTACATTGGAAAAGCTCTGCAGAGCAAAAGCTAAAAGTACCAGATGATGCAATAGAGGAAAGTTTTACTTTTCCCTGGCTCCTAGTGTGTTCACCTCTAGCCACAAGTCCTCCTGAGTCACTGTCTCTCACCAGCTTCCATGACACTGAAAGGGAAGCTGCCGTTTTCTACCATTTCCTATACAAGGGAACAGTAGAGTCATCCCTCAGTATCTGAAGGGCACTGGTTCCAGGACCTCCCGCAGATACCAAAATCTTCAGATGCTTAAGTCTCTGATATAAAATGGGGTAGTACTAAAATATAACTTATGCACATCCTCTCTCCTGTATAGTTCAAATCATTTTTAGATTACTTATAATACCTAATACAATGCAAATGCTAGGTAACTCATTATACTATATTGTTTAGGGAATAATGACAAGGAAAGTCTGCACGTGTTCAGTAAAAATATTTTTTCTGAGTATTCTCCATGGGCAGTTGAATCCCCAAATGCAGAACCCATGGACACTGAGGTTCAATTGTACTTGAACTGGGCATTAAGTGCGTCACTAAGGAGGCTACTCTTCATAGATAAAATTTAGGAGGCATAATCACAGCTGAGCCAATTTGGAAAAATCAAGAAGGCAGGTACATGGAGCACAGCCAACTCTGTAAGCTAGACCTGCACAAGGAAGCACTCAGAGGAAAGAGCTTACATTCCTGCCATCCTTTGAAGATGAAGAAATGTTAGACTTAAATGCATTTGGTAAGACAGAGAAGAATGAAGAATCACGTGTTGTAATATAAATAGCAGCAAGACAAAGAGAACCAGGCTTAATCAGAATTATTTTTAACAAGCAAAGTATATTTATGTGTTACCTGTGTAATTAAGCATTTTTTAAAAGGCAGAAGGAAGTAGTAGTCATTGAGATAGAACCTAGTCAAGCATATGTGAATGAACCCCATTGTGGTATACTCAGTAATATATAGATTATAAGCCACATGTTATAACTGTATGCAATAAAATCTTGATCTAAAGCAAGTTAGAAATGAAGGTGGTACAGTCCAATTCATGTGTGTGGTATTTACTTTCAAAGGAGGAGGCCTATGTAAACTGATGCAGCTACCCATATCTCCAATATAATCTTCTATTCCATTTTCAACTCAAAATGATTATCAATTACCACTACCACGTATTTTTATCACTGAAAAAGACAGTAGCAAGTTGATAGAGAACATTTGATTCTTTTTTTTTTATTTTTTATTTTTTTTTGAGATGGAGTCTCGCTGTGTCACCCAGGCTGGAGTGCAGTAGTGCAATCTCAGCTCTCTGCAACCTCCACCTCCTGGGTTAGGCTGTGTAAGCCCTGCTGGGATTACAGGTGCCCACCACTATGCCTGGCTAATTTTTTTGTCTTTTTAGTAGAAAGGGGTTTCACTGTGTTAGCCCGGATGGTCTCGATCTCCTGACCTCATGATCCGCCCACCTCAGCCTCCCAAAGTGCTGGGATTACAGGCGTGAGCCACTGCACCTGGCCTCCTTTTGTAATTTTTAAGACTCATTATGGGTTTGTCTGGTTTTAATGCACAAAAGTAAAATGCTTTTATAGTAAAACTGGATAAAGAGAACCAGAAGGACAGAGAAGGGATAGAGTGGGGAAAGGATAAGGAGAACAAAGGAGGGGGGAAATACAAAGAGAAAATGTCTATTCAAAGAAAATGAAGCCAGATGTGGTGGTTCACACCTGTAATCCCAGAACTTTGGGAGGCTGAGGCAGTAGGATTGCTTGAGCCCAGGCTGGAAAACATAGAGAGACCCTCTCTTTAAAAAAAAAAAAAAATTAAAAATTAGCCAGGCATGGTGGTGCACATCTGTAGTCCCAGCTACTTGGGAGGCTGAGGTGGGAGGATCGCTTGAGCCTGGGAAGTTGAGCTGTGATTGTACCACTGTACTCCAGCATGGGCAACAGAGGAAAACCAGGTTTTAAAAAAGAGAGAGAGAGAGAGAGAGAAAGCAAGAAGCAAGAAAAAAAGAAAATGAGAAGACTACTTAAGCTCTGCTCTAGAGAACTGCAAGACAGACACTATAGCCTGTCCTGATCCACTTACCTGGGCACACTGGCCCCTTACATTAGATACTCAAAATGTCAGTGCCTAGTGGCTACCATTTACTGAAAATTCTAAAACACTATGCATTTGAACTTTCTGCACTGATGGAAGTATTTTATTCTGTGCTGTCCGGTCTGGTAACCATTAGCCACATGTGACTGCTGAACACTCAGCAATTACTGACTAGCATGATTGAACTAAATTTTTAATTTCATTTAAATCAGTCTAGGTTTAAATAGCCACATGTGGCTAGTGGCTACTGGATTAGTCAGCACAGGTCTAGAATACAGGAATCCGATAAATGTCATGGACTTTTTTTGAAATTTCACCAAGCTATTCACTTATGTTTAATAGATTTTATGTGCATGAATTCACTAAGATTTCATAGCAGACACAGCTCCTGTTGCCTGCCCCACTTCTTGCATTTCACTTTTATAATTATCTGACTCGTTATAAGTTGACTGTCTCTCTGCTGGACCAGAAGCTCCATAAGAAGAGCACTAGCGGGCCTTTCTTATTCTCCTCTCCAGCCCAGCCTGGAATGGGGCCAGGCACACACTGTGGTCTTTATTAAGACTTGCTGACCCATCAGACACCTGAGAAGCAAGTCAAAAAGGAAGTGTCTTTCCTGGAAGGATTATGCATAGAAAGATACACCCAAATACCCAAGACTCATTTTAAAAACAATTCTGAAGTGACACAGATCAACAATATTCTTAGTAACTAGTCCAATTTCTCTCCACTATAGCTCTTTTTACCCTACAAAAGTCAATAATATATCTCTCCACAGGGTTTACATACTCGATATTACCTTTTTACCAAAAAAGTTATTCCATGATTTTCTTAAATCACTTCTAAACAGATATTCCTTTTATACTTCCCTAAAAAACGTTATATCTCACTTGTAGCACTCAGCCACTAATCAATAAATTGAACACAGGATGCCCAGACACAAATTGTTAAAAACTGTCTATACTAACTTTCTGACTGCTTCACTTACAAAGCAAAGGATATATATGTAAAAGAATATATATTCATAAACAAAGCATGTACAGTATATATATCTATACACACACACACATCTACATGTGTGTCTGCACACACACACAAATTGAGCTTCCAATTATTAAGTCCTTTATCATACATTCTATCTACCTACCTAGTTCTATGCCCCCATTCCCATTTTTTTTAAGAGATGAAATCTCACTCTATTGCCCAGGCTGGAGTGCAGTGATGTGATCAAGGCTTACTGGAGCCTTGACCTTCAGGGCTCAAGCAATCCTCTCACCTCAGCCTCCAGAGTAGCTGGGACTATAGGCATGCACCACTATGCCTGGCTAATTTTCTAATTTTTATTTTTGTAGATATGGGGGTCTTGCTATATTGCCCAGGCTGGTCTCAAACTCCTGAACTCAAGCAATCCTTCTGCCTTGGCCTCCCAAAGTGCCAGGATTACAGGTGTGAGCCACAGCACCTGGCCAACCTAATTCTACTCAAAGCCACGTAATTATGGCAGTCAGAAAGCAATGGATTAGAATCCTATCTCTTCTACTTTCTAGATATGTGGTTTTGGGTAAGTTACTTAAACCTTCTGGGCCTCAGTTTCCCTATCTGAAAGCAACACCCAATTTCATGAGGTCTGTTGAGAGGATTAGGTAGTATACTGGCAATGAAAACAACTGGGGGGTGGTGGTGCCTGGTGCAAAGCAGGTGTTCTGTGTTTGCTAAATGAACAACTGATTTCATCTGTTTCTTGGGATGTCGTTCAGAGGCTTACAAACACCCTAAGAATAAACAAGAGTTCATTATATTCTAATTTAAAGTGAGCAGAGTCTGAAGATTTAAAGGCAAACCAATAACCGGTGATTGAACAAACGAGGGGATATGAAAAAAAAAGAAAAAGATTTCAGATGCCTGCTACAGATCAATTGAAAGGTCTCTACTCTTTGGAAATGGTTCAACTCAGGCTATCATTGTGGAATCACAATAGTTTATATTTTCCATAACTGCAGCTAATCCATGGTCTATTTATCTTTAGGGTATTACAATTTACAAGACCATTCACTATTCAGCCTCTGTATGTGTCCATTCTCACACTGCTATGAAGAAATACCCAAGACTGGGTATTTAATTGACTCACAGGTCTGCAGACCTGGGAAGGTCTCAGAAAACTTACAATCATGGTAGAAGAGAAAGCAAACACATCTTTCTTCACATGGCCGCAGCAAGGAGTAGTGCTGAGCAAAGGGCAGGGAAGCCCCTTATAAAACCATCAGTTCTCAGGAGAACGCACTATCACGAGAACAGCATGGGGGAACCGCCCCCATGATTCAATTATCTCCACCTGGTCCCACCCTTGACACGTGGGGATTATTACAATTCAAGGTGAGATTTGGGTGGGGACACAGAGCCAAATCATATCAGCCTCCTAACTTCACATTTGGTAAATTTGATTTCTGGTACTTTGCCTATTCTATAGCTTCTTCAACACTCAAGATGGTATATGTAAATAGAACTGAGATAAATGACAGCTTTAACAGTTTGTATAAAAAGTCCAAAGGTAAGCTGCAATAAAGTGCTCCTTTAAAAAGTTAACCTCTGTATTTTCTTGCTAGACTCCCTGGTAGGGAAATACATAAAGACTCAAGATCCTAATAAATAACATAAATAGGAAAGAGGGGAAGATGATGGTAGTCATTCATACCTCAGCTTCCTGCAGGGTCCCGTGGTTTAGGCACACCATGTCAGGGCAAGTGATGGGAGACCCACATCCTTCTCGGATTGCCAGCTGCATGTACTGTTTCAGGCACTGGAAGTTAAGAAAAAAAAGACAATTGCCCATTCCATTACAGTAGCAGAAAGGTTACATAACAGAACCACCACTGTGTCTTCTTCCTTAATTGGCTGTCCTGAGGCTCTTGTACTCAAGAAACATAAGTTATCACAAGTGTGAATACTAAGAGCCATCACTTTGGAAAGAATGCAGAGACAGGCAATTAATTATGTATGACTTCATCTTAAGAGTTTATTCAAGTCAGATTTCCCTATGCTCACACATTTCAGCCACCATAGATCAGGAAAAGAAAAAACACTATTTTCTAACCCTAAAGGCCCCCTCCTTTAAAAAAAAAAATATGAGTTCCTAATTCCATTTTTACCTAGTGGTCCTCTCCATCAAAGTTTACCCAAAACTAGAACAGAACGCTGTGACCCTTGCACTGAGCTAGCCACACAATCAAAGTAAGCTTAAGGCAGTGACATTTCTAGGACCACGCTTAAAAGCAAACATACCTGGAAAAGATAATGTCAAATTTGGGAAAGTCAGGTGACTTCCTGCTGACTGGGGACAGCAAAGATAACTTGCTTCCCAAAGACAAGAGACACATTGTCCCAAAGACATTATCCCAAAGACAATGAGACCTCAAAAATATGGGCCTTGGTGGATGCCATGTTAAGGAGGTTGGAGTAGGAAAAAAGGCACTGGTCCCCTGGGGAAAGAAGAAATTAAATAGAAAAAAATAAACCCAGAGAAGAAATTGAATAGAAAAAAGAAACCCAGAGAAGAAATTGAATAGAAAAAATGAAACCCAGAGAAGACATTGAATAGAAAAAATGAAACCCAGAGAAGACATTGAATAGAAAAAAGAAACTCAGAGAAGAAATTGAATAGAAAAAGAAACCCACAGAAGAAACTGAATAGAAAAAAGAAAACCAGAGAAGAAACTGAATAGAAAAAAAGAAGCCCAGAGAAGAAACTGAAAAGAAAAAAGAAACCCAGAGAGAAGAGGGAGAACACCAGGAACAAAGTTGGTCTGCTCACTGCCTGTTGTGTCTGGATGTTGGACAGTGGGTGAAGATGTGAGTCTGACTGAAAAGTTAAGAGAGGGACTGATAGCTTTATGGAAACCTGTAATGCCTCACCCTATTCCTCTCTATGCAACTGCACAAGAAATTGAAGGCAGTAGTTCCAGGAAATAAACCTCTAAGTAATTGGTTCTTCAACTTCTACTAATTTGCTCATAATCGGTAAACCTTTTCTACATGCATGACCAAAAAAAAGTCAAGTTCAAATGTTGAGGAGTACATTCCACCAAAAATACTTAAGCCAGCCACTGAAGCAACGACTCTTACAAAGTGGTGATTATTTACAACTGGGTTTAGATTTTTCAGATTTATACATTTATGTATCAACTTACTGCATTAAAAATATTGCTGTTGCACCAACTTTTTATAAAAGCATGAGCCAAAAGTAAAATTCTAGGGTCAGAATATTGATGATGTAATTGTGAAATCTATCCCTGTTATTGACCATCTTTACTCATTTTTTCCACCTGAAAATAAAACTAGTATCACTATTATATTACTTCAGAAAACTAATCATGTATTTATCTGGTTATAAATAACTTACAATGTACTGATGAATCAATGACTAGGGCAAACCATTTAAACCAGACTTGTATCTCTTCAAATAGTTAACAGTTTTTTTCTCCAAGGAGTTAATTTTTTCTATAATATTCATCACAGCAAAAACTAGAAAATAACCTAAATACCCAAAATAGAACACTGAAATAAATGTTGCTAAATTTATGCGATAGAATGTGCAGAATCATGAAAAGAGTCTTCAAATGATATTTAAAAGACATGCACAAATGCTCATGATTTAGTATAAATTCAGGAATAAAAGGTATCTGGGAACAGGGATCCTCTGCAGTCACTCCTCTCTTGCACTTGACCGCCATATAATTACTGTGTTTTAACCCTGACTTCCTTGTTCAACAGAAGGGTGAAAAATCACTTGCTCTAGGATTTACTGTGCCAAACATGGTATCCAGCAGCAGCAGCAGTGGGACATAGAAGAGAGCAGCAGCAAGGAAATATGGGGAAGAATGTCAATGGGCAGGCGAACACCCAGGGGAACAGTCAAGGCGGCTCACCAAAAGGAGTGTTTTGCCAGGGGACAAATGAATAAACAGTGTGAAAGCCTGTCCATCCTGTTCTGCTGCTGAGGACATCTCAGCCTTCCATCAGCCACACCTGTTCCATTGTTACTGCCTTGATCTTCCCACTGACCCCCAGCAGCCACTTAAAGAAATTTAAGTAAAAAGACTGAAAGATATAGTCTCCAGGCTCAAGGGGAAGGTGTTTGAGGAAAACAAAGTGAACAATGCAAAGAACTTCAGATCCTAACACCTGGGTGGAGGGTCCACTTTACTAGGTGACAATGGGAAAATGACTTAGCCTATGACCTAGACTTGCTTTCCTTAATTTAAAAAGTAGGGACAATAATACCTGTTATAGTTACCTCACAGGTTTTAACACACACACACACACACCCACACATACACACATACACGTGAAATTTATATATGGAAGCCCTTCATGAATTTGCAAATTACAGAATAATAGGTCATGTTATTACTCCTCTTCTCCTGGTCTTAGACTTTCCATCAAAGACTTTGTGGGAAAATGTTAATCCTTTGACCTTCTGAGATATCCTTTCTCCACTCCCTGCAAAGCACCAGTTAAACCACTTAAGGTGGAGAAGCTGTGTAGACAGAACAGATATTTGTAACAGAATATCCCAGGTGCCTCTATGCAAGGCTCTTAGAAATATTTGGGTCTACAGAATAAGTTTAGCATTAAATAGGAACTAAAGATACTAAGTGAGTCCTTATAGGCAAACACATTCATTTCAAATATAACTGCAAATGTGTTAAGTTGAAATATACACCTTCCCAAGAGCTTATAATGGATGTGCCTCTTACTAATAATGTAATGTTCCTAGGTACACTACAAACCACAATATATCAACTAAATGAATTTTGAAACTTCCTATAAGCACTCTCCTGGCCACAATATTATATGACCCACGATTTTGGGTGAGAAGTTAGACCTCTGTACACTGACTCCAGGGTTTAAGTACACATACCCTTTGTTTTTAATGCTAAGAAACACTGGTTCAAGATAGAGATTTGTAAGGGCAGGTTGCTAAGTAGTCCTACAGCACAGGCACTTGACATTCCATCAGTGTGGGCATGCATTTCTATTCAAAGGCAAAGAGGGAAAACAACCAGCCCTAGTTATTGCTTTTTACTGAATTTTCAAGTACCCCAGGCTTGTTATATGCTGCCCATTAACTTTCACTAAAACATTTAATCTCGAGTGTCCCTCTCTTCTTCTGTATCTCTGGCTAAAAAGTGCAAAATAAGTGAAAACGTTCACATGAATCCCATGTGCATGTCATACAAAACACAGGTAAATGGTTAACAATTCTAGGGGGGAAAACTGGCATCTAGCTTATAAAGAGAGAAACAAAGAAAATGAAAACAAATTATAGCAATGCAACAATGGCAAAATAAAATAATCACTATTAACAAAGAAAACTACCACCATTTAGTCACATTTTGAAAGTTACATTTATTAAGTAGCATTCAACAGATATTTAAATAAGCAATTTTCTTAACAGGTAACAAATTGTAAGGAAAATGTTTCAAATAGAACATCTCAAAACCCAAATGACCCAAGGGAAAAAAACCTTTTTCTTTTGTATAGTCAACATTTTACTTAGTTTGGTAAAACACAGAATTATTTTTAGGCCATGAAGGGTCATGCAAAATAATAAGGATTGTTCGTCAAACTCACTCCACAACCTTTAAGGATTCATATGGGATCTAACCAAAAATGTAACCAAACACCTGGTGAACCAGACGACTCATATTGTCTCTTCCAACTCTGAGAGTCTATGAATTGTATGCAATGGAATCTACTCAGAAACAGGTGTCTCCTAGACCCCTTTCAAGGGTATCAGATTCCGATGTACCAAAGTCACAGGCATTCTTCATATAAGGTGTTCTCACCTATTATGATGGACATGGCAAAAAGGGTCACAGTGTTAAGACAAAGCTACTATGTACCTACCCAAGAACAAATCACAGGAGTGGGCAGGGAATATATGTATATTTTTAAAAACGTACTATATAGTTCCTCATTCTCTATCACTAAATTATGCCCTACCTAAAGTTTTTTTTTCTAAGAAAAAATAAAGCATTATAATCTATAGCCAATGAAACTGGATTCCAGCCATGTAGGTTGAAGCACAAGCTCTAAAGTCTCCTCTACATCTTGAGCCAGTCATTAACCTCTCTAGCTACAGTGCTCTCATTTATAAAATGGGACAATATCACCTGTCTAAGCTGCTCTCAGGGAAAATGGAGAGTCCCCCATTCACTTTGAAAAGTGAAAAGAGGTATGCAAACGTAAAGTATAATTGGAGAATGGAATAGATGTTTCTGAATAGGCAGGCATGCAGAAATGAAAGTCCACAGACAAATAGGAACCTTAGAAAAGCTTCATGAGGGTGAGGTGAATAGGTAAGAGAATAGGTACTGTTGAGAGGAAGGAGGTAATGAGTGCCATTAGTTGATTTTTTTTTTTTTTTGAGACTGGGT
This sequence comes from Homo sapiens, assembly GCF_000001405.40. Classification (NCBI taxonomy): domain Eukaryota; kingdom Metazoa; phylum Chordata; class Mammalia; order Primates; family Hominidae; genus Homo; species Homo sapiens. The sequence goes on along the minus strand of NC_000006.12, from coordinate 18,422,941 downwards.
CTTGCTCTGTTGCCCAGGGTGCAGTGGCACAATTATGGCTCATTGCAAACCTCAAACTCCTGGGTTCAGTGATCCTCCCACCTCAGCTCCTCAGTAGCTGAGGCTACAGATGCCTGCCACTACACTCGACTATTGATTGATTGATTGAAATTGGGTCTATGTTGCCCAAGCAGGCTGGTCTCAAACTCCTGGGCTCAAAGAATCCTGTCGCCTCAGCTTCCCAAAGTGCTGGGATTACAGGTGTGAGCCACTGCAACTGGCCCATTCATTGAAAATTTAAGTTGACTTCCAGGATCTTAGATGCTTCTGGATGCAGGCGCTGGGGTCCTGTGGTCAAAGGAGGACTTGTCAGCCCACCTGGCTTGAAGGTGAGTTGGTGAACTATTGACCTAGGTTTTCTCATCCATAGCTCAGCCAAGTGGGAAGGAAGGTGATGAGGGGGAATGTGCCCAAAGGCCAAAGCCCAGACAGGTCTTGAGTACCTGTTTTGCTTTTTATCACTCCAGGTACAATGCAAACACTGAAGTACATATTCCATAAAATGTAGACTAACATTTCCCTGCCTCAGTGCACAATGACATCACAATGTTTCCAGTGTGTTCTAAATAACATCTCACACTGAGAACAACATTCTGCTTATTCCACTTCAGACTATGATCTGTACACATGATCCAAGAATAAGACTGCCTTTGTTAGATGCTGTTGAGTTAAATTATTAGCACAATTCAAGATAGTATCTCTCCCTACTCAAAAGCCTATCCAACACACCAAAAGCATCCTGGTTTGAAAATATTCAGACAAATTAACAACCTATAGCTAGGCAGGAAGCTGTTTCCTGGTATAGTCCGATCCTAAAATTTTTCTTACAAAACCCCTTTCAGATACCTTGGCTTTTTCACCAATATGAGATTACTTAGGTGACCAACCTCCCCCTTGTAGGTGTTGGCCAACCATATAGGACATGAAAGGACTGATAGGAAAACCTGGCACCAAATGATTAAAGGAAAAAGCACCAAATCAAACAGCAAGCCATAAATAAGCACAGTTTAAAAGAGACCTTGGTTTGACAGTTCTCGTCCCTCATCCCTTTTCATTCCAGAAGCCTTCCCTGCCTCATCCCCTAGTGTGGCAGCACACCCAGCCCGTCTGCCCTCATAGCACCCTAAGGCCCAGCTCGCACTGTATTTTTCAAACTGCGTGCAAAGGTGTATTCTTGGGAACCCAAGAGTTCTTCATGGCAAGATTTTCCCCATTTTATGTTTATTCAATGCTCTTAATAAAAGCATGCCTGGAACCACCTCAGGAAATTTCCTGTTTCCACCCAGTGTCCGTGCTAACCCTTGGTCTGTGGTGCCACCCTGCTTTGCCACGTAGGGGTGCTATCATTGTCACAGGCAAATGAAAAAAAGAAGAGAAGAATCTGGGCCCAGTGAATGCTGAACACGTCAAAATTTTTAGTGATTCCAACAGAGAAAGGTGACAAGATCACTGAATTACCACTTAGTCATTGGAACACATCAAACTCAGAGCCTAACTGGAAAAAGCAATTTACCCAAAGTTAAACATCACTCATCACATTAATGTTAACTTACATTTTATTGGTCTGTAATTTTATTTTATATATATGTGTGTGTGTGTGTGTGTGTGTGTGTGTGTGTGTGTGTGTGTATAATATATAATTTTTTTTTTTGAGATGGTTTCTCACTCTGTCACCCAGGCTGGAGTGAAGTGGTACGATCTCAGCTCACTGCAACCTCTGCCTCCTGGGGTCAAGCAATCTTCTCACCTCAGCCTCTGAGTAGCTGGGACCACAGGTGCGCACCACCATGCCAGGCTATTTTGTATTTTTGGTAGAGACAGAGTTTCGCCATGTTGCTCAGGCTGATCTTGAACTCCTGAGCTCAAGTGATCTGTCTGCCTCAGCCTCCCATAGTGCTAAGATCTCAGGCATGAGCCACTATGCCTGGCCTTATTGGTCTGTAATTTTAATCAATATTAAGTTTGTATAATTATTGTGGTGTTCTTATTCTTTAAGAGATATATGCCTAAATATGCTTATATACTACTTAGTATCATGTTTGTATAAGTTTTCGTAAGACTCTAATAAAGGAAATTTTAAAATAGTTTGATATTAAGTTCCAATTCTTTTCCCCTTCAAAAGGAAGCCACATAAAATCATCAAAAGGAGGGAGAATGGACTGATTCTCAATAGCAGTGAGGCTGGTGGTATTGCCTTCTCACTTGGGGACATACTAGAATATCAGACTATCCAGAAGGAATTTTATAAATGATGCAACCTCCCCCGCTCCCCAAATTCTCCAGAAGACTTGGCTTTTCCTCCTCTACTTGCCAACCTTTCTATGATGACCGTAGGTAACACCAGATGTTTATTGTACACATGAGCAATGTAGCACGCCCAGCATGCTGCATTGCAAATGACTATCAACTTGCCTGCCTCCTCTATAGCCTAGAAGCTCCTTCTAGATCTAGATTATATCTGCTCCTCTTCATGTCCCCTACAAGCACCTAATCAATCACAGGACCTGGCACATAGTAGACACTCAGGCTTCTCTGAGAGCTGGAAGCCTGAATCCAGCACTTACTGGTTGAGTATCCCTAATCTGAAAATCCAAAATCTGAAATGCTCCAAAATCCAAAACTTTTTAAGCACCAATATGGTGCTCAAAGGAAATGCTTATTGGAGGATTTTAGACTTTAGATTTTCAGATTAGAGATGGTAGACTAGTAAGTATAATGCAAATATTCCAAAATCAAAAAAAAAATCAGAAACCCGAAACACTACTGGTCCCAAGCATTTCAGATAAGGAGATAGGGGATACTCAGTCTGTGCTCAACTTTGTGGCCAAGCTCCTTCACCTCTGATAACTGAAACATATGAACCCACCCAAACACACATCCATCCTCTGTTCTTCTTTTCTTGACACATAGGAGCCAACTCTGCTTTTCTGGTTCCCATCTCCTCCTGCCTTTCAGGAAATTTACCTATTCATTACCTGTTTTCTTTCCTATGTCTTGAATTTTGTCCTGTCTATACTTGAACATGTTCAAAATATCCTAATCAAAGAAATCAAAGAAAAGTCATAATAAAACAGCATAGAACAGCCCTCTCTCACTCCTCTTCCTGGCTGTATACTGCCTTCTTCACTCCTCAACTCTTCACAATCAAATGTTTGAAAGAGTTGTCTTCCCTCACTCCTTCACCAATCCCATCCCAACTCCTCCCTGCCACTCAACTGAAGTGGCTCTAGGTCACTGAATCCAGTACACATTTCTTCCTTCCCAACCTCTCAACAGCAGTATCACACACAGCTAACCACTCCCACCTTCCTGAAACCCTTTTTCCCCTTGTCTTCTGGATCCCATACTCTTCTGGTTTTCATTCTTCCTCTCTAGTCACTCTTTCTCAATCTTCTGCATTTTCCTCAACTCAACTTTTAAATGCTGGAATTTCAGGAAAGGACCTAAACTCTCTTCTTTCTACACTTTCTTCCTGGGTCGCCTCATTTGCTATATAGAACCAGTTGTGCTAGTCCACTGCCTATTTGCTCTCAGGAGAATATATCCCAAAAGGCCAGTGGTTCCCTAGCAGAGAGCAGTGCCCCCGAAGAAAATGATCTAAGCCTGGTATGTTTTTATGGACAAGAAACACTGGAAGATATGGGACACTACTGGGAAGGGTATCCTTAATAAAAAGCCATAGGCAGGAGGAGGAGGGGTGGATGGACAGAGGATAAGGAACTTCAGAGATAACATTCGCCTGCCTTACTATTCAACTACCTTACTGACAATGTTTCTCAAACTTGAATGTCCATCCAAGTTATTTGAGGATCCCATCAAAAATGCAGATTCTGATTCAGTGGATCTTGGGTGGGGTCTGAGGTTTTGCCCTCCTTGTAAGTTCCCAGGTCTCGTTGGTGCCACTGGCACACAAACCACACTTGTAAGTACCAAGACCCATGTCAAAGATTCTCCACATCAGCTTTTTAATAGAATTATCTGGGAAGGTTTCCAGAAGTCCAATGCCCAGGCCATACCACAGACCAATTAATTCAGACTCTCTAAGAGAAGGATCCAGGTGTCAGTGTATATTATATATATAGCATTATTATATATGATATGTAAATATTATATATTTTATATTATGTCATGTTTTATTGAGATATAATTCAGATATCTATAACTGAGATATAATTCACGTACCCATACAATGCACCCATCTAAAGTGTACAATTCAGTATTTTTAGTATATTCACAGTGTATAACTATCACCAAATTTGATTTTAGAACATTTCATAATCCCAAAAGAAACTCTGTGCCCATTAGTACATGCTCCCCATTTCTCCCCCAGATCCTCCATGCACAGCCCTAGGGAACCACCATTTGACTTTCTGTATGTATAGATCTTCCTACTCTCTACATTTCATATAAATGGAATGATACAATATATGGTCCTTTGTCAATGGCTTCACTTAGCATAATGTTTTCAAGATTCATACATGTTGTAGCATGTATTGGTACTTCATTTATTTTATTGCTGAATAGTATGCCATTGTGTGAATATACCACATTTTGTTTATACTTTCATCAGTTGATGGACATTTGGGTTGTTTCCAGTTGAGTGGTATTATGAATTATGCTGCTATGAGCAAGTTTTCATGTGGACATACATTTTCGTTTCTCTTGGATATTTACCTAGGAGTAGGTATGGTATATGGTAACTCTATCTTTGCCTTTTGAGGAACTGCTAGATGATTTTCCAAAGCAATTGCATCATTTTCCATTCCCACCAGCAGTGTATGAGAGTTTCAACTTCTTTAAATTCTCATCAAAACTCGTTATTTTCTGTCTTTTTTATTATAGCCATCTTAATGTGAAGTCGAATATCATTGTGGTTTCGATTTGCATTGCCCTGTTGGCTAGTGATTTTGAGCATCTTTTCACATGCTTATTGGTAATTTGTACATCATCTCTGAAGAAGTCCCTATTCAGAACTATCTATACTTTCATCTATTTGTAACTGAGTTATTTGTGTTTTCATTACTGAGTTGTAAGAATTCTTTATATATTCTAGCTGTATCCCTTATGAGATATGACTTGCAAATATTTCCTCCCATTCTGTGAGTTATCTTTTAACTTTCTTGATGATGTCCATTGAAGCAAAAAGGTCTTTAATTTTGATGAAGTCCAATTTATCTGCTTTTTCTTTTGTCGCTTATGCTTTTGGTGTCACATCTAAGAATGTCTTGCCTAACCCAAGATCATGAAAATTTTTCTATTTTCCTATGTTTTCTTCTTCTAAGAGTTCTATAGTTTCAGCTGTTATAGGTGTATGGTCCATTTTTGTTAATGTTTGTCTGTGGTATGAGGAAGATCACAGACATCTTAATTCTTTTGCAAACAGATATCCAGTTGTCCAGCACCATTTGCTGAAAAACATTTCTTTCCTCTTTGAATTGTCTTGGCACCCTTGTTGAAAATCAAATGACAAAAAATAAGATTTATTTATTTATTTATGGACTCTCAATTCTATTCCATTGATCTATCTGTCCATCCTCATGACAGTATCACAATGTTTTGATTACTGTCGCTCTGTAATCAGTTTTGAAATGAGGAATAGAGCTCTCCAACTCTGTTCTTTTTCCAGATTGTTTCACCATTCTAGGTTGCTCAAATTTCCATAGGAATTTTGGGATAAGCCTAGAATTTAGTCGGAATTTTTACAAGAGGTGTGTTGAATCTGTAAATCCATTTGGGGAGTACTGCCACCTTAACAAGTCTTCCAATCCATGAAGATGGGATATCTTTTATTTAGTCTTTTAAAATTTCTTTCTAGAGTATTTTGCAGTTTTCAGAGAATTTTCTACTTTGGTAAATTTATCCCTAAATATTTTATTCCTTTTAATGATATTGTAAATGGAATTATTTTCTTATTAATGCAATTATATTATTTCTTACTAGTATATGGAAATACAATTGATTCTGTACATTGATCTTATATTCTGCCACCTTGCTGAACTGTTATCAATATTTTTAAACTCTTGAAGTGATTCCCATTTGCAACCAAGTCTAAGCACCACTAGTTCAGTACCACCCATGCCCTCCATTCTAATCAGGGAAGATACTTTTATGCCCCTCATCACTCTTTTCTACCCAACCTCTCCATAGAGAATACAAGCATTCAGCTAGTTCCAAAAGAAACAGCAAAGGAAGCTTAAGGGGGAAATTATATATGCAAAATTTAAAACTCTGATTGAGAGCCTTTAAATACTTTAGCCCAAAATAGTGCCGTTACATTTTCTGGAAAAGATTACTAAGATCCACCTTGTAAGTTTGAGGACAGTCATTCAATATGGGAGATTAAATCTGGACTCCAATCAAAAGTACCTCCAGTTCCCACCAACCAAGAGTGATCAAACACGTCTATCTTTATCTCAAATGATCATGAAATATCTAAATTAAGAAACTCTATGACAGAAATAGCTCTGAAGAGAAACCCATTGGAAATGCTGCAGCCTGGTCCAGGCTTCACAAGAAAGCCAAACAAATTTGCTAAAATGGAAGAACATTCCAATCAGAGCAGTGAACTGGCACTAGCGTTGGAAAAATCTGCTTCCAATTTGAGTAATTCAATCACTCATCCATTAACCTTTCAGAGGAGTTTCCTTTTGTCCCACTTGTGCTGCCTTTCTTAACAGAAGGAGGCCCCACTTTTTATACTAATCCCAAAGAGATCCCTCTGGCCCAGGTGCTATCTTATGACACAGTATGCTCAGAAAAGTAACTGACCATTCCAGGAGAAAGAAAACAAGAAGGCTTGCCAAGTTTACATCCTTCTACTTTCTCCAAAGAAACATTAGCCTTCAGAACTGTAAGCCCTCAGCTGACACCAAAGCCTTAGCACACAGACCCAGCACAGGCAGTGAGAATAAGCATACCACGGATTCAGCATAGCCAGATTCCACTGAATTCATTTGTCATTTCATTCTTCCTCCTACTATTAGAGTCTCTGCTTGAACTGTTAGCGCTTCTGAATCTCTAAAAGTGCACTTAAGGTCCCAGCAACACAGAAAAAAAAAACAAAACCCAAGTTAGTAAAGGTTCAAGAAACCCCTTCAACCATGAGGTACGGCTATGCTAGTCACCTGAATAAAATATAACCATTCAACCCAATCTAAGCAAACACATTGAGTACTCACATTCCACTAGAGAATGCAGAATGAATATTAAACTACACCATGCAAAGGACAGCAGGCTAAACAGACGGAGAGATATGTGATAAAGCAAGCAAAAAGTTAATGTTAGAATCCGCTATGATTTGAATGATGGTGTCCCCTTCAAAATTTACGTTAAAACTGAACCCCCACGGGAGGTGATTAAGTCACGAAGACCCCACTCTCATGAATGGAACTGGCACCCTTATGAAAGGGCTCAAGGTTAAAGGGAGTGCTCTCTTGCCCTTCCATCTCTTCTGTCACGTGAGGACACAGAATTTCTCCCCTCCAGAGGAAGCAACAGTAAGACGCCATCTTGGAAGCAGAGAGCCGCCATCACGGGACACCAATCCTGCCAGCACGTTGATATTGGACTTTCCAGCCTTCAGAACTATGAGTAGTGGATTTCTGTTGTTGATAAATTACCTAGTCTCGCGTATTTTGTTATATCAACACAAAAGGACTTAGGCACAATCTAAGAGATAGTTGGTATACGGTCAGCCCCCCGTCCTCAGATTTCACATCCATGGATTCAACCAACCACGGACAGAAAATATATTTTTAAAATCACAATAAGAAATACACAAAAAATACAGTAGAAAACCCATTTATATAGATTTACATTGTATTAGATATTATAAGTTACCTAAAGATGATTTAAAGTATATGGGAGGATGTACATAGGTTACATGCAAATACTACACCATTCTATATAAGGGACTTGAGCATTCATGAATTTGGGTATCTTTGGGGTGGGGAGTGGGAAGGGGCTTGGAACCAATATCCTGAAGATACCAAGGGATAACTCTACAGGTATTTGTTGTAAAAATCTTTATCTTGTTTCATAACAAACTGTTGTACAATTTTTTCCATCTTTTTAAAAGTTTTTGTTCTTTTTCACCTTCAAGAATAGAAACAGGATGTTGTACAATATTTTAAAACTAAAAGCAAAAGATAAAATTTATACCATTCATCAAATCTCAGATTTTAATACTGCTTAAAAGCAGAAATCCTATATTTTAAATAAAATCTGTCTCAGTATTTAAACCAGTTTGAATAAATTATAATGAAATAATATCTTAATTAAAACTAATCATATATATACCTACTACGTATCTATACAAATTAAAACATTTTTAAATAAAACTAGTGGTAGCAATATTAATAACTATCTGAATTTTTGAAATTTTAAAAGAATATTAACACTGTATAAGTGACAGAATAAAGCTAACTCATCACCAACATTTTTTCCTACAGGATATAACCTACAAAGCCAGCATGCAAAATAGCTCATATTAATGACCCAAAAGTTGGGAAAGAGTGACGCTTAACAGTTTCCTCAAGAAGATATTATTTCTATACATGGAATGATAGGAACAAGGGACATCAGTTAAGAATAGACCTAACCCTTAAACTTCCTCTTGAGCTACATTACAAAAGAGAATCTCTTAGATTTAAGAGAACTGAACTCTGAAAAAGTAGAAAAGGTTGGACAATGACTAGGTTGGTTATTAGAAATCTCATTTTATTCAAAATTATTTTGAAATAATGATATTCAATGACTCCACAGCAAAATCAGCATCTTTCTAATTATAAGTTACATTGCATCAAGACCACGACTATTCCTCACCTCACAATATTCCCCCGAGGATTTATCCTGCAAAACCTGGAATTTTTTTTAACATTTTCTAAAAAGCAAGTTTTTAGAAGTCAAGGGGCTTCATATTGAGTGGGCTTTTTTCATATTAATTGACATAATTTGAACCAGTCTTCCTTTTCTGAAGGTTATCAATACCATAAACCGTAAGATAAAGTTTTTCAAAGGCTAGACATCATTCCATATTAAAACAATCTTTAATTAACACATTACCTAGGGAAAGCAGATGTTAAGCTATAATATTTTTTTCCATTTGCAGAAAAGGTCTCTGTGCTCTGCAGTAACCCATGCATTAAACACCCTCAACACAGAAGAATCACTTGGAAACAACCGTCAGACTGAGGTCCTCTTAAGAACACCAGTAACTTCCACAGACACAATGCGCCTGGAGGGTGGGAGAACATCAGTCATTGAGGCAGAATGCCTGGCCTTGAACCTTGACTTCAGTTTCAACATCTGAAAATATGCTAAATGCACTGGGAACTTCCAGTTGTGTAAATCAGACCTCTGAATGTCTCGGCCTTGGTTTCCTCAAATAACTTACCCGAAATCACACAGTGGAAAGTTCACAGAACACTCATGTTCATGCTCAATCTCTAATATGAGGCCATGGCCACCACTATATTCTGATTACATACTTTCTGTTCTCTGAAAAACTCCTTGGATTTTTTAAACCAGTAGTTCTTTACATTTGTTTTGTACTGACTAAACTTTTACGTATATAAAATCAGTAGCCAGTTGTCAATTTTGCATTTTATAGGCTATTGTCAAGCTTTAGACATTTCAGGTTAAGATCACAAAAGCCAAATATGGGCCTTCATCCATTTTCATGCTAACAAAAAAAATTTAGGAACCACATACTATGTGCTAGGCCATACATTATATATTTTCACAGAGCTTGTTTTTATTTCTTCCAAACGACACTATGATGTAGGGATTAACATTACAGATCCTGGGCAAGTTATTTAACTCTGAATTGGTTTATCTGTAAACTGGAAGAGTAAATGGGGGAAAAAATAGTACCCTTGCATATTACATATTATATGAAAGGTACTCAAATGCCCTTGCTTTTCCTTCCGTAATTTTTTTAAACAGATGAATAAAATGAGGTTTAAGCAGATTGAAAAAATACCCTACATTCATGTAGTAAATACCTCACACATATTTTCCAGAAGAGTCAAACCAAAAAGACCTCCTTACTGTGGGTGGGAAATGATTCAAAACCATGGAGGCTTTCAGTTAACACAGAGCCATGTATTTCCATGGAAATGAGGCACTGTGTCTCACCTGATTCCAAGGGGTACACTGCATATCTGGAATCCACATAGATAAGCCTTATATAACCAATCTTTAATGAACTGAAATATACAGAAAATGGGATTTTAAAAAACTGAATTTTCTAGTTAACTCACCACCCTTTTTCAACTTGCCTAAATTTTTTAAACCTCCTTTACCTACTTAGTAACATTTTGTCACTGGACATGAATTTTTTTGTGTGATAAGGCATCTCCCTCAGTCTGAACACCACCATTTTTTCATTCATTCATGTCTTCTATGTGTAATATACTTTTCTAGATATGGCCCATTTTTTTCTAACTTGATTACTATTAATACCAAGGTATAAAATCAGTTGAAACTATACTGGCACTGAGCATACTGTATGTTTTTTAAAGATAGATTCATGAGATGAGCTTCTCTTACAACAATTTGCTTCCTCCTAAAAAGAGGAAGTATGGATTAAACCATGAGATATGTTCTTTTCACATACCAGATTACAGAAGGTGAAAAGTTGGAAAATACCCGGAGTGTCAAAAGAGAGGCCTCTGTTCCTACTCTGTTGGTGGAGTTGCCAAGCTGGTGCAACAGTTTGGAACAGTAATTTGGTAACACATACTGATTTAAAATGTACATCTATTTTGGTTAGGCAATTCTATTTCTAAAAAGTTATCCTAAGGACAGGTATTTTCACATTTATATAAGTAAAAAAAATGTATTCATAATAGCAAAAACTAGAAACAACCTTAAAATCCATTATTTAGGAGGGGCCCAGTTAAATAAATTTTCATACAACCATATCATAGAACACTATACAATACTTAAAAAGGAAGGTTGGTCTGTATATTTTTGCACAGAAACTTGTCCACAATGTACTATGTTTGTAAAACTCAAGTTAAAAGTATCTGTAGTTAAAGATCCCATTTCTCTATTAAGTGATGTGCGTAAGTACACAGGGAAAGAGTCTAGAAGAAAGTACAGGTGGGCTGGGCGTGGTGGCTCACGCCTGTAATCCCAGCACTTTGGGAGGCTGAGGTGGACAGATCACCTGAGGTCAGGAGCTCGAGACCAGCCTGGCCAACCCCCTCTGTACTAAAAATACAAAAATTAGTTGGGTGCGGTGGCGCATGTTTGTAATCCCAGCTACTTGGGAGGCTGAGGCAGAAGAATCACTTGAACCCAGGAGGCAGAGATTGCAATGAGCCGAGATCACACCACTGTACTCCACCCTGAGCGACAGGGCACAACTCCGTCTCAAAAAAAAAAAAAAAAAAAAAAAATATATATATATATATATATATATATATATATATATGAATCATGCACATGCTTTTTGAGGTTTTTTGGTTTATTTTTAAATTAGCATGTGTTACATTTATAATTAAAAATTATCTTCAATGTAATAAACCAAGAGAGCCCTGAAACATGATTATTTTGTACTTTAGGGTCCTATTTCTTCTATGAGTACTAGCCATGATTTTTAAAAATGTACTTTCACTGGGCACGGTGGCTTATTCCTGTAATCCCAGCACTTTGGGAGGCCGAGGCAGGCAGATCATAAGATCAGGAGATCGAGACCATCCTGGCTAACATGGTGAAATCCCGTCTCTACTAAAAATACAAAAATTCCCTGGGAGTGGTGGCACGTGCCTGTAGTCCCAGCTACTCAGGAGGCTGAGGTAGGAGAACTGCTTGAACCCGGGAGGCGGAGGTTGCAGTGAGCAGAGATCACGCCACTGCACTCCAGCCTGGCAACAGAATGAGACTCCGTCTCAAAAAAAAAGAAAAGAAAAGAAGAAAAAAAAAGAAAAGAAAGCTGACAGTATCCCAAATGGATAGGAAAAAAGAGAAATTGGGGCACAAAAATAATTTAAATACTCCAGGCATCAAAACTGCAGTCTGCCATACACATGTATCCTAAGTTGATAAGGACATTGTTCTCCGAGCTCTGCTTCAGCCTGCCATGGTTCCCTCCTCCTGCTCCAGCCTTGCCCACTTTCAGTCCATTCTCTATCCTGTACCGACGCCATCCTCCCTATCTCATTCCCAAACAAAGCCTTCCAGTGGCTCCATAATGTTTTTTTAACACAGCATACCAGGCCCTCCATCTAGTCTCTGCTTGCCTCTCTGGCCTCCTGCCTGAGCACACCCACACTTCCAACAATGTGTCCCAGGAACATCTTCCGGTTTGGTTCCTCAGCAGGTCACTCTTCCCTGATTCTGTGTTCTCACATGTGGCTGGCCTCTTTTCCCTGGAGCACTGTTCTCACCCACAGCCCCATCAACAATGCCATCAAGCAATCCCTATTATCTTTCAGTCTCAGCCCTTAGGAAACCTCCTACCTCCCTGAGTCTATTTTAGGTGGGTTTCTGTATGCTTTATAACATATTGTACTTCCTTTATCAGAGGGTCTACTGCCCACATAACAGCAGGGCTGGTTGTGTCTGATGACTGCCACTTGCTCCACAATTAACACCATGCCTGGCACACACTAGTACCAAATGGATCAGTAGAGTCTGGACAAAGGTGGGAATAGACTTAGAGAATATTGGAATAAGGGTGCAACTTCAAAAGAAGAAATACATAAACTTTGGTGACTTAGTGGCAACAATGGAAAAGTTCTCTCATCAGAAACCAACTTTTGCCTGCTCTCTGGTCATGATTTGCATGTTTGGCCAGCCTATTACATTCTGATATGTGGTTTGAAGAATTAAACTTTGGCAAAGGCATGCTTAAGGGGGGAAAAGTCTACACAACATACAAGCACAGATCACCAAACTATCTTTTCACAACTTCCTTTGTAAAAAGAAATAAAATTCTGTTCCACATTATAACATCACCCCTTACCCGAATACCAAGCCTAAAGTACTTGTTACGCCTATGATCGAAGTAAAAAATGTTATGTAGGCCGGGGCGCAGTGGCTCACGCCTGTAATCCTAACAGTTTGGGAAGACAAGGCGGGCAGGTCACTTGAGGTCAGGACATCGAGACCAGCTTGGCCAACAAGGTGAAATCCCATCTCTACTAAAAATACAAAAATTAGCCAGCATGATGGCACCTGCCTGTAATCCCAGCTACTCAGGAGGCTGAGGCAGGAGAACTGCGTGAACCCAGGAGGCGGAGGTTGCAATGAGTCAAGATCGTGCCATTGCACTCCAGCCTGGGGGACAAGAGCAAAACTCCATCTCAAAAAGTAAAAAAAAAAAAAAAAAAAGGTTATGCAAGTGAAGTTTGTCCCAAAAGAATTCTGTCAACCCAAGAGGGTGGGGGAGGGCATAAGTTACTATTTCTTAATATACCTATGGCAAGAAGGTAAGATATGTTAAAGTATGTTCAAAGAGATCTACCCAGAAAAAGAAGAGTTTTCCAGGGTTTTTTTTTTTTTTTTTTTTTTTTTTTTGAGACAGTCTCACTCAGGTGCCCGGGCTGGAGTGCAGTGGCAAGATCTCAGCTCACTGCAACCTCCACTTCCCGGGTTCAAGCAGTTCTCATGCCTCAGCCTCCCAAATAGCTGGGATTACAGGTGTGCGCCACTGTGCCTGGCAAATTTTTGTATTTTCAGTAAAGACAGGGTCTCACCATGGTGGCTAGGCTGGTCTCAAATTCCTGGCCCCAAGTGATCCACCCGCCTCGGCCTCCCAAAGTGCATGAGACACCACACCTAGCCAAATTTTCCAGTTTCTATAGAATTGTGTAAATATACTAATAAAGCAGGAATATAACACACTTAAGGAATATATCACACTTTATTAGTTAACTTAGAGGCAATGGGATGAAAGGCAGACCCTGTAAAGGTCATGAGATGCTCATTTTGCAGAGAAAAAAAAAAAAAAAAAACACTTTTCTGGACTATATAGGTGGAGGCATTACCAGAAGAAAAATAATAATTCACGGATTTGTGTCTTTAACTGTGTTCCCTAGAAATTGATTCAGGGATGGAGAATTCCATTTAGAAGAGTATGGGGTATACTCTCACCAAAGTCATGCCTATAAGGAAGTAAGGAGAATAGAAGTGGGCAGAGGGAGATCCTGACCCGCCATGCAGCTGCAGCCAGGGTCTGATCTGGCCCTACATTCCAACAGGGTACTCTCAAGGTAGGAAGGGCCCTTCGCAGCGGCACCTCATTAAGCTGAAAGGGAAAGACCTTTATATCCCTGTAGCAATCAGTCATTGTTCCATAAGCCAGTCCCTGGGAAATGGAGGATAGAAACATTGCCCTGAAGAGGGATCCGAGTGAATGCCACAGTTTCCACTACAGTCATGTTTCCATCCAAAATAGAATAAGATCATGCTAATTTGATTACAGGACCTAAATGTAGAAGATAAATGCATATTAAAATAGTAACTAGTAAGATGAATGATATATCTTCCTTACCAAACTGAAACCTCCCATAGGAAAACAATTTGGCTGGTTAAAGTAATTGAGGATTCTCAGCTTAAAGAAGAGAAAATGATGAAGAAAAAGAAATCATGGTTTTAGAAAAATCTCAAGCTGGGTACAGTGGCTCACATCTGTAATCCCAGCACTTTGGGAGGCCAAGGCGGGAGGAACACTTGAGGTCAGGAGTTCCAGACCAGGCTGACCAACATGGTGAAACCCCATCTCTATTAAAAGTACAAAAATTAGCCGGGCATGGTGACAGGCACCTATAATCCCAGCTACTCAGGAGGCTAAGGCAGGAGAATCACTTGAACCCAGGAGGCAAAGGTCACAGTGAGCTGAGATCGCACCACTGTACTCCAGCCTGGGCAACAAAATGAGATTCTGTCTGGAAAAAAAAAAAAAAAAAGAAAAAGAAAGAAAGAAAAAGAAAAATTCCAAACCAAGCCACCATTTTTACAAATGAGGAAATTCTAGAGAAATAACTTGATTCGAGTCATAGAGTTATTGACAGAATTGGAACTAATAGCAGGCCTACTTATCTCACTACTAGATAGCTCACTATTTCCTACATTGGACTGAGCACTATAGGAGAATTTTTCATGAGTAATCTGACGTCCGCCCTCTAAAAAAAAGATAACCTTCATTCAAATAATATGCAGCTAGTGAGTAGAATTAGATTTCAACCAGGAATAGTAAAATTAGATTCTAACCAATTTTATTTTAGAGAGTGGAAGTAACGCTAATAGTTAGAATTTACATAGAAACCAGTTTCAAATGAATGTAGAGCAAAGATGGTTTCAATTTAGAAATTTCCAATAATTGAATAGTCAGTACTATGGTATGTCCCAATCCTGGAAATTATCAGTCAAAAGCTAGATAACCACACTAAAAAGAGTAGAGCTATATATGCTAGCTGTATTCTGGCAGTGTACTAAGTAATTTATCTAGATTATCTACTGTAATCTTCTATATAATCTTGTGAGATGATTTCTTATTATCCCTATATTACATGAAAGAAAATGACCCAATAGACTGCCCAAAGACATTAACCCCTACCATCTGCTGGTCCAGGCCACTATCATCTCTGGCCTGGATTATTACGTTTGCCTTCTAAGTAGTCTTCTTGCTTTCACCCTGGCCCCTGTAGTTTATTCTCTATGCATAAAGGTTAATTTTGTGTGTCATCTTGGCCACAGGATGCCTCCTATATGCCTCATTTCTGGGCATGTGTGTGTGTGTTTCTGGATAAGATCAGTGATATAGCTTGGCTCTGTGTCCCCACCCAAATCTCATCTTGAATTATAACCCCCAGATGTTGAGGGAGGGACCTGGTGGGAGGTGACTAGATTATAGGGGCAGTATCCCCCATGCTGTTCCCATGATAGTGAATTCTCACGAGATCTGGTTGTTTGATAAGTGTGGTGCTCTCTTTCTCGCCTGCTACTATGTAAGACGTGGCTGCTTCCCCTTCCACCATGATTGTAAGTTTCCTGAGGCCTCCCCATCCATGCAGAACTGTGAGTCAATTAAACCTCCTTCCTTTATAGATCTCAGGTATTCTTTATAGCAGTGTGAAAACAGACTAATACAATCAGCACTTGCATCGGTAAACTGAGTAAAGCAGTTTACCCTCCCCATTGCGAGCAGGCATCATCCAATCCATTAAGGGCCTAAAAAGAACAAAAGGAGGAAAGAATTCGTCTCCCTGCCTGACTGCCTGAGCTGGGACATCAGTTTTCTCCTGCCCTCGGACTGGGACTTATACCACTGGCTCTCTTAGTTCTCAAGCCTTCAGACTTGGACTGGAAATACACCACTGGTTCTCCTGGGTCTCCAGCTTGCAGAGAGAAGATCATGGGACTTAGCCTTCATCTCCTACTACTCCCCCTACACACACACACACACACACACACACACACACACACACACACACTTTTCCAGCCACACCAGCCTCCTTTGCTGTAACAGGATACACCAAGCACACTCCCAACTTAAGACCTCCATACTGCTTCCCTCTGCCTACAACCCTCTTCTCCCAGATATCTGTATGGCTTGTTCCCCATTTCCTTCAGGTCTCTGCTCAAATAACACCTTATCACTGAGACTTCCCTGATCATCTAATAAAGTAGAAGTCCCTCTTCCCCACAGCACTCCTGACCCCCCTCACCCTATTTTTCCATAGCACAAACCATCACCTGACTTCTGTATTTACTTGTTAGCATCTATGTCTCATACGAAAAGTTGAGTTATTTGAAAACCAGGGCTTAATCTGATCGTTCACCACTATATTCAAACCATCAGAACTATGCAAGACACAGCAAATATTTGTTGAATAAATAAAGCCTAAGCTACCAAACTTGAGACCCATTCTCTTAAATGCCAAACCATACTGGCATCCCAGAAAATGACTTCTTTCATTAGGAGGGTGGGGGAACTAGAAGATCTAAGGTCACTTACAATTCTAGGACTATGATGCTATGACAAAGACATTAGGGCCTTAATAGTATGGTTTTCTTCTGCTGTTCTTTCCTCTCTTGCCACATTTTACTACTTTCCTTGAATAAGTAAGTGGTAAGCATTAGGCATGGATGAGATCATAGGTCCAGGAAGCCAGCTCCTCCTTGAGTCATCTCTAATCCATTTCTCATGCTGTTACTGTTTGCTCTTTTTCCACAGATGCCATCTGACCCTGCAGTGGCTCCGTTGTCAGTGGAAAAATATAGTGCCAATAAAATCGGCATTGTAAACCTGTGACTTGACCAATAAATACAAAAGTCACCATAGTATTGTCATTAAATCTCTTAATGGATATAAGCAGTGAGTATATTGAAGTTATTTCACAAACAAAGACAAATTCACTGATTTACTGCTAACCACCCCAAGCAAAGTTAAGGGAAAGCATAAAACTAACCTTGCGGCTGGGCACGGTGGCTCACGCCTATAATCCCAGCACTTTGGGAGGCCGAGGCAGGTGGATCACGAGGTCAGGAGTTCAAGACCAGCCTGACCTACATAGTGAAACCCCAACTCAACTAAAAATACAAAAAAAATTAGTCAGGCCTGGTGGCACATGCCTGTAATCCCAGCTACTCCGGAGGCTGAGGCAGGAGAACCACTTGAACCCGGGAGGCGGAAGTTACAGTGAGCCGAGATTGTGCCACTGCACTCCAGCCTGGGCAACAGAGCAAGACTCCATCTCAAAAATAATAATAACAATAATAATAATAATAATAATAATAAAGAAAAAAACTAACCTTGCAAGCAAGCATATTTAGGTACCAGAAACCAACAGAATAATACAGTGCTTTGAACTGGCAGAACTTAGTTCGGCCCATTTAATAGTAGTAGAAGACGTGGGAATCTGGAGCTGGAGAATTTGAAAGCTTTGGGAAAGGTTGGCAGGTCTCATGACCAGAAGAGGGGACAGAGAATCATTCTGTGGCATTGGCCTTGAGTAAGATCCCTCATTATTTCTTGTGGTTCCAGAGAATTCTCAATAAAAGGAACTTAAAATGATACTAGACTAACATATCAAGCCAACAAGTAATTATATTATTATGTTCTTGGAAGTAAGCAAGTTCTTAAATATGTGGTACTTTGAAACACCCTTTCATCTGAATCTTTTATATCCACCATAAATGTGCTCATCTATTTACTGTCAAAGTTGTATTGGCACTTTTTTTTCCCTGTTAAGTCCTAATTCTAGATATTTAGTTTAAATATTTCAAAGCCACACTTTGAACAAATCCAAAAGAGACATTTCTCTCTATCCTAACTGCTAATCTCTGAGTATCTCAGAATAGCAGTGAGGTTGTAATTACCTATATAACCACCTTTTTATAAAAGGCTAGTGAGGAAGCCAGTCAAATCATTATAGGCTTTCCTTTCTCTGAAATCTTTTTGAAGAACGTAACAGCTCAGCACACTGATGGATCTTAGGAAATAAAGGTAGGTATTGTCAACCCCTCCCTCCCTCCGTCTTACAGGCAAAGAAACTAAAGTCTAGAGAAGGCAAACAACTTGCCCCAAATCATACACCATCAAATGACAAAGCCTGAACTTGAGCCTGAGTCTTCTTATCTCCATATCTGCATTCTAACACACTATGCTATACTGCAAGGGAGAAACAGAGGTAGAAATAGGAAAGTGGCATTACTTTCTCCTAATGCAGGTAACAGTTAGAACCCAGGAAAGATCCACCACAGATTCATGCTTCATTTGAAAGTTACCAAACTGTGTGTGCACATACACATTGCAAATCCTCCCAAACTGTAAATGTCTCTGCTATGGTTTGGATATGGTTTGTTTATCCCCACCAAAATTCACATTGAAATTTCTTCCCCAGTGTAGTAGTGTTGGGAGGTGGGACCTAGTTGGGGAATGGCTTGGTGCCACTCTCTAGGTAGTGGCTGAGTTCTTGCTGTGGCGAGAATGAATTAGTTCTTGCGGGAATGAATTCTTAATAGTTCCTGCCAGAGTGAGTTTTTAGAAAGCCAGGATGCCCCTTGGGTTTTGTCTCTTTTCACATGTCCACTTTCCCTTTGACCTTCTCTGCTGTGTTTTGACCTAGCATGAGACCTTCACCAGAAGCCAAGTAGATGTCAGCACCGTGCTTCTCTAACTTTCCACCTGCAAAACTGTGAGCTAAATAAACCTCTTTTCTTTATAAATTACCTAGCCTCTGTATTCTGTTATAGCAACACAAAATGGACTAAGACGGTCTCCCAAACCAACTGTGGGCTTTTCTTAAAGGTCACCCGACAGGCCCCAAGGGAAAGAACGGCTTGGTCTAAAATGTTTTATATTTCCTCTCACTTTTTAAACATTGGAAAATCCATTTGGCTCCAAGAAATGAATAGTAAAAGGAGTTCTAACTACCTAGAGCCAATAGAACGTAATGGAAAAAAGGCAAGAATATGGCTGGACTTTATTTTCTTTTTGCTTAGCACATCCTGTATTTAATCTGAAAGGTAAATAGGCCATGCCCAACATACCGACTCTTTTCAGGTGAAATTATCTAAGTTATAAAAACAAGCAACAACTGTGTTTTCACTATTCCTTAATTCACGGCTGACAGAAATCACTTCTAAAATAAATCAGAAGCAAATATTGTACACAAGGGAGCAAACTCACAAATTTCCATTACTTTGATAACTGACTTGTGAATTTATTTCGCTTGAATTAACATTATGTGGCATTATCTGAAAGAACGCATTGCAAACCCAGAAAAGGAAAGTTAGAATTTTCATATTTGGGTTATTTAAATATACAGGCAAAAGAGAGGAAGGGAGAGACAGATACTCTTTGCATGTCATAAACAGACAAACATCCCTGAGATATTTAACCTTCAAAATAGAACAAGTAATTATGCTACATCTTTTTCTCTGTAACCCCAAGACATCAACCTCTTTGGATCTGTAATACACCTCATGTTCTATGACGTCAGTCATGCCAGTAAGAACTATGCCCAATTTTTCCTGTATATGCAGCTTCTCTTGCTTTATATTACACTTTATTCTGCATATTAAAACTGAGCAAACAGTCTAGCAGAAACCATCTTCACAGCTAGAACATCCTTTAACAAGAACCTAGATAATATTGATGGCTTATTTGAGACAACATCTACCACATTCCTTTCCCTGGATGTTATTTAAATCAAGAATTACCTACATGAAATAATTTAAAGCAGTGTTCCTCAGAGCACTGGTTGTGGGCAATAGATGTTCCACTCAAAAGGGTGGCACGGTCAAAGGGAAATGCTTCATCAGAAGAAGCTAAACAAGATTCCCCTGCTTTCCCTTTAACCACAAGATTTCACAGAGCCTCTAATATGCAAATGTGCCTTACATCCCTCTAAGAAAGGAACAGAAGAACATTGCAGTTCCCAAGCTAATTTGACCATGGAACATTTCATTCAAGGATATCTCTGTTTCCCAGAGCTGGTGGTCCGTGGAACACACTTGGGGCATCTATTTAAAGGCCAGGTCTCTCTAAAGATAAGGAAATAACTGATTAACATTCAATGGTCAAGTCAGATACTCCACATCTGTCCCTTCTGCATACCCAGAGTATACTGCACCCCCTATTTGAAGCACTGTGAAGGATCCTAGCACCTTCATTTTACACAGGAGAAATCAGAGGCCCAAAGAGATTAATCATGTGCCCAATTACACAGCTGAGTTGGGGTAGAGTTGGAATTGGAGTGTGGTGATCTTGGAAACAACAACAAAAAAAGCTAGGCTCACAGCAAAATGGCCAGGGATGCCTCTTACAGAAGACAGGACAATGACAGAATATTGTTAAAGCTTTATTAAATCCAAGAAAATATACCAGTATAGATCCTCTTGTAGTTCATAAGCATGATGATTGGCTTCTCCCAGTCACATGAGATATGCCTCCCTCAAACCTGGTTACACCATAAGCACATTATCCATCTAACATGAAAAGAAAAAATATATACATTACATATACCAGTATATACCGGCATAACATCAAATCTAGCAGGAAGATCATTACATGTGGATACTCCCTGGGGCAGGGGGGTGGTTCTCAGTAAAACCATTTTAAATATATGGTAGGCACAAGCAATTGGGAGATGTCATCCAATTCTGTTTAAAAGTAGAAGTCAGTAGTATGTGGCATATGAAAAAGTTACAAATTTCTTTTCAGCCTCGAAAATACAAAACATTTGATACTGAATACAGATGCAAATTAAAGTCTGGGAAGTATTAGACACATTTTAAGTCATTTTTTTAAAAACAAGAAATAAATCTCTAACCAAAAGAAAGTTAGAGGAGTATTTCAGGTGAATCTGATTCAAATTACAATTTTACAGACACTAATGTAATCATACACCGCTTACTATTTTGGCAGCTCACAGGTAACAGGTAACAGGATGCCAGGGAAAGTTAATGTTTCTAGGTGCAAAAGGATCCAAAATTGAGGGATACCAAAAAACATTCAGCCATTTGACTCTCTGCTTTTGAGCACTCCCTAACAATGAGGAAGTGTGAATCTAGATGACTGAAAAAGCTAACTGTACTAACTCCTACCCTCAAATTGCTGAAAGAGAAATGAGAAGCAGCCATGCTGTTTTGAATCAGGAACTAAAATCTACTGAAACAATAACAGGACAGTGTTAGCTCCCTGAGAAGATGAAATACAACCTTCACCATGTATTATTTCCCCAATGTTGACGCACACGCTTAAATTCTGCACTGTTAAATGTCATAGCAAAAATTGAATTCTTTTAAACAGCAGTAACCCTCAGTGAAATATTTGCATACTGATTTTCACCACATGTTGCTTCTGACTCATTTGTTTCAAGGATTAGCAAGGGTCTGCAGCAAGGGTGAGAAAGTCAGAGAAATAATTGTTTTGAAGGACAGCCTTCAGAAACAAAGCAAGACCAAAGGAAACTGAAGTTGCTCTGAGATGACAAGGCCATTTCCTCACTTCCTATAAAGCAACACACACTAACAACAAGAGGAAGGAGAGGCAGCACAAACATCACTCCTCAGCAAGGCCTACTTCTGATCCCCCTACCTAAAACAGCAACATCCTCTAAGCCCTGAACTCCTACACAACGTTCTTATATAGAATATAAGCTCCTAAAAGCAAGAAACTTCGCTGGGTTTTGTTTCCTTAACTGATAAATCCTCGTGCCTAGAACCATTCCTGGGACATAGTTCCTGCTCAACAGATATTTGTTGATTAAATGAACAATGCTATTCTGTGTCATCACTGAAGCCTACAGGAACTCAATCTATTTCCTACCTTTATACCTTAACCGACCAACCTTCAAGGAAAAGTGGCAGTAAAGGTCACAGGTGTTGATACCAGGTGTCACACTAAAAGAGATAAGCCCACTTCTGCAGGTCTATAGGGCTCTCATTAAGTGGAATAAGAAGGATTCAGCATACTGTGAAAACAGCATAAAAGGAGCTATGACAAAGTACAATTTATATCATGTACATTGTAGAAGATGAACAAGTATATGAATGAAAATTCAGTACATAAAGTAAATTACTACCTGACTTCTCCATCATTTAAAATACCTGGTGAGTTTCTTATAGGTGGTAGTTAACTACAGCATGTTAAATTTTTTTTTTTTTTTTTGAGACAGAGTCTCGCTCTGTCGCCCAGGCTGGAGTGCAGTGGCCTGATCTCGGCTCACTGCAAGCTCTGCCTCCCAGGTTCACGCCATTCTCCTGCCTCCGCCTCCCGAGTAGCTGGGACTACAGGCGCCCGCCACCAAGCCCAGCTAATTTCTTTTGTATTTTTAGTAGAGACGGGGTTTTACCATGTTAGCTAGGATGGTCTCGATCTTCTGACCTTGTGATCCGCCCGCCTCGGCCTCCCAAAGTGCTGGGATTACAGGTGTGAGGCAACGCACCTGGCCAGCATGTTAAAATTTTTCTATTCTGTTCCATAGTTTGAACCTTAACAGAAAGACTATTTATTCAACCAATAATTAAATTTCAAACATAAATTATACTCAGCTAAAACAAGTAAACCCAGGATTTACCATTTAAGATACTATTTGGAAATAGGTTCAAATATGAAATGCTTTCCAAAGCAGGATCATATTGTAGCACACTCTGGTTTCTCAGTAAACCACAGAAATATATCCTACTTTTATGATTTTTCCCTTTGTATTTTCTCATAGTGAAAGCATCAAGGAAAACTCACAGCTGTGCAAAAGATGCACTGGCATTCCTGGAGTGTGGTCATCTTGTCCAGAGACTGCTCACACAGGCAGAGTTTGCAAGTGATGAGGGGGGCCGGAGCCAGGTCTCCAGGAGTGGGATTTTCAGCAGTCATGGCGAGATAGTGGAGCCTACCAGCTGAGCCCATCAGCCTGTCTTCAGCATTCTTCAGTCTCCTCAATCCCTATAGAAAGGTCCAAAGCAGAAAATATTATATGGATTGATAAAGCTATTGTTTAGCCAACACGTCTGGAGGCCAGCTGATCAAATTCTCACCCTCAGTTATCCCAAAACTTACAGCTAATGCATTTCTGGGAACGACGGGCTAGAGAGTGGTTCACCTACCTCGGCAAGGTATCCCTGAAGTCCTGAAATGTAAGCTGACCTCACTGTCCTGATTCACATCATATGAGCTATGGAAATTAAAAGACCACTATGGTGGGGTGGGAATGGGGAGATGTTGGTCAAGCTTACAAAGTTTCATTTAGATGAGATGAATAAGTTCTGGGGAGCTCTCACGCAGCTTGGTGACTAGAGTTAGTAATAATACACTGTATACTTGAAAATGGCCAAGAGTAGATTTTAAATGATCTCACCACACACACACAAAGAAAAATGTGAAGTGATGATGTTCATTAGCTTGATTTAAGCATTTATATACATAGAGCAAAACATCACATTGTATACTGCAAATGTAATTTGTCAATTATACCTTAATGAAGGTCAGGGGCGGGAAATATCACTATGAGCAAACATATTTAGGAGTTGCATCACTACAATCAATTCAACAGACTCAAAAAGTACTTAAAATAGAATGTCATTCAAAAAGTTAAACAAAGAGGTAACATATGATCCAGCAATCGGGTATATACCCAAAAGAACTGAAAGCAGGGTCTCAAAGAGATATTTGTACACCCATATTCATAGCAACATTATTCACAATAGCCAAACAGTGGAGGCAACCCAAGTGTCCATCAGCAGAAGAATGAGGCTGGGCGCAGTGGCTCATGCCTGTAATCCCAGCACTGTGGGAGGCCGAGGCAGGTGGATTGCTTGAGGTCAGGAGTTCAAGACCAGCCTGGCCAACATGGTGAAACCTCGTCTCTACTAAAAATACAAAATTACAAAAAATACAAAAATACAAAATTAGCCAGGCACAGTGGCACATCTGTAATCCCAGCTACTCAGGAGGCTGAGGCGGGAGAATCACTTGAACCCAGGAGGCAGAGGTTGCAGTGAGTCAAGATTGCGTCACCACACTCCAGCCTGGGTGACAGAATGAAACGTCTCAAAAAATAAAAAATTAAAAAGACAGAAGAACAAACAAAATGTGGTCTATATATACAGTGGAATAAAAAGAAATAAAATTCTGACACATGCTACAACATGGATGAACCTTGAAGACATCATGCTAACTGAAATAAACCAGACAGAAAATCAAATATTGTATGATTCCACTTAAATGAGGTACCTAGAGTAGTCAATTCTGAGAGACAAAAAGAAGAATAGAGGTTACCAGGGGCTGGTGGGAGGGGGAAATGAAGAGTTACTGTTTGTGGGGTTTTTTTTTCCTAGAGAAAGGGTCTCTCTCTGTTGCCCAGGCTCGAGTGTGGTGGCACAATCATAGCTCACTGCAGCCTCGAACTCCTGGACTGACATGACCCTCCCGACTCCACCTCCCGAGTCAGGGTATGCTTCCTCACCTGGCATGTTCAACGGGTACAGAGTTTCTGCTTGGGATGATGAAATAATTGTTTTCCCCATTTTATAGATTAATTGTGATACTGATAAGTTAGGTAATCTGCCAAAGTTCTCAGAGCTTGTACATGGCAGAGCAGAAGACAATCCTCAGCCTTCTGAGGCCACCAAGCCCAGTGCCAGATCCATTACACCAGAGCTGCCTTGTGTGGATATCACATGGACAGACGAAGCAGAGAAAAGAAGGAGGAAGGGGGACAGAAAGAGGAAAAGAGAGTTGAAGTCCATGACTACAGCTATCCTTAAGGTCCCTGAAGCTGCACAGAAACAAAATTTGTCTCCCCACACAGCATGACCATGGGAAAAGACATCTTTAGACTGAAAAATAAAAACTACAGCCAAAGTTCTTCTACTAGATTGTTTTTATTCTGAATCTTTATCTTTAAAAGAGACTAAATAATTGTGAAAATAATTTCTCCACATATTCATATTTTATATCACATCTGGAAATTTCATGTTCTGGTTAAACAAAAGCAAAATCCTATAGTTCTTACTATTTTTAAAGAGTGGCCAATTCTAATAAATTCTGCCATAGAAATAATTGCAAATACACCTCCCCCTACAAGAACCAAGCTCTTTTCCTCTTAATTTTCAGACAAAAGAAATTACATGTAATCATTTGCTACCTACTCCCAACAATAGCTTAAGTCTCAATATGTAAGTACAAAAGTACTAAAACAAGTAGGGGAAAATCAAATTCGATTAGATAGAAAAGGAAAAAAATAAATGAGATATTTGCTTGTCAATCTGTCCACATCCACTTTCTTAATGTCATACCAGAAAGTCAACGATTACTAACTCGAGCAACCTGAAGCATTCAAGGTTTTTCACCTACTCCCAGTACTCAGTACCAGAAAACCTGATTCAAAATAATTAAATAGGAAGCTAACTAATGGTTAGTTTCCATGTGGAAGACATGGTTTTTTTCTCAGCAAATGCCGGATAAAGTTCAAGACACAGCGTTATTCCATTAACTACTGAGGAGCTGTCATCCAAGAGCAAATTAAATTCAAATAGACCTGCACGTCAAATTCAGGATTTTGAGTTTTTGTAAAAAATCTCTCTTTATGATAAACATACGGGTAAAAATGAATGACTTTACCTTTTCCTTCCTCCCAGTTCATGCTTAAACAACTGTCATCAGCTTGCGTCTCCAGTACTCCCGGGCTCATGGCACACAGTCCCACCAACTTCCCATCTGTTGTCTTCTCACCTGTACATTCTCAACGCTGCTTCACTGCTTATGCAATCTATTCTGAATTATCTTTCTTTCAAGAGAAATCCCAAGTAAAACAACAAGAAGAAACGTAGGTAGTAAATGCTTCCTGAGTAGGAGAAAAAGGGTAATGACACAGGCCAGAACCATCCCACACCCCAAATGTCAAATACACTTAGCCATGTGGAGAAAGCTGGTGTGAATAGCCAATCCTGTTGTTCTGACCTAGCAAGAGATCTAGGTACTCTTCGAGAAATCCAAGTATTTCTCAGTCTTACTCTATATTATTTTTTTAGAAGGAAATATTAAACAGGCCAAAGTTTTAATGTACTCTTGAAAAACAAAGACATAATTGGGATACCTCTTAGAAATTAATTGGATACTCTTGAAAGACATATTGGATTCCTCTAATAATACCTCAATTATTATCCATAATGGAATACCTATAATTAGATATTTCTTAGAAATAGTCTTCTTTTGAAGGTAGAACTAAAAATTGTGGTAATCAAGACCATGTGAAACATAATTGTCTCTTACTATAAACAGTACGTAAGTTTTTACTCCTTAAAACTAAGGAGTTACATGCCTATAGGCTATGAAGTCAAAGTTATAAAAAACATATGTAATTTTTATAATAGAAAAACCTTTACATAGCAGAGATGCATTTTGTTTTTTAAAAAATTCCAAGCATTCCAAAAAGGCAGGACTTATGACTCAGTGACATAGAGGAAAAAAGTTACATATTTCATCTCCTTGAGATGTGAACAATCCAAAATGATTCTTCAAAAAGTGATTTATTTTTCTGTGTACAATAACACCAATTCCCTAAAGCAATGGCTCTCAGACATTTTTCAAGCAATGAGCTTTCAAAAACAAAAATCTTAGTCAAACCACCACTGTATAAAAGAGATTCAGGTAGACAAGTGCCAGCACCCAATAGTGGGTGTCCAGAGCCAGTCCCCTTGACCTTCCCCACTCAGCAGCCCCCCAGGCACCATTGCAGAAGCCTAAACCTGCACCATGCACAGACTAAAAACCAACCCTTTCGTTTCTCACTTTGGGCAAAACCAACAATGGATAGTTAAAAAAATGAATGAAATGCAGTGAGCACTTCATTTAAAAAAAAAAAAGAATATCAAACAAGAAATCCTTTCACCATTGATTCATTGCAAAATGAGCTCTTCAATCAGTAAACAGGAGAATCCTGAAAGCCTCTAATGAATTTCCCCACACCTGAGATGCCTGTGAATGGCTCCAAGGTTTCCTTGCATTTCTTCCTTTGTGTCATATTACTATTCACCGGTCTTCACAGCATGAAACCCCCAATAGTAGAGCCTCAGGAAGCTCAGGGCATTTGATAACACACTCCCAGCTCCTCCTGTCCCTCCCATTGGGCCACAACTTCACAGGGGCACAAGCAATTCACATCCACTCCCCTCCAGGTTTCAAGAAAAGTCTTCATTCCAGAAAGAGGCTAACTCACTCCTACTGCCTCATACCTCACATTTCTATCAAAAATAAGAAAGTGACTTGAATTATCCACCCTACCACTTGATTTTAAAAGCTAACAATTATAATTACTTTTACAGTGATTATAGATGTGACTGTGCCTCTCACCGAGTGTCAAGAACCCCTTGTGAAAAGAATTTTGGCAGAGAATGCAAGGGGCACCTTGAAATCTGACAGCTGCCTTTCAAGTTTAGGCATTCTAAGGTTGGTAGCAGGTATCACTTGCTTATATATACCTAATCATAGAACAAGACAGATTGGTTGGGCCATGTAAGGAAGGAAAGCCATTCTGAAACGTCTGAGTTTGCACTAAATTACCAGGAAAGGAGAACCAGCAGTTCTACCTGCTCTATGTGTCTCTTGCACTATAAAGTGTTCATTATATGAGAAGCAAGTACTATCTGATAGGAAAGAATGGAAAGTCGCCTTTCCCCTCGTGTCTTGTCATTAGAATTGTCAAAGAAGGGAATACTTCAGCACAGAATGTATAAGGAATTTTCATATTCTGCTGATGGCCTGAAAAAGCAATCTGCTCCAAAAATGCAAATGATGGGAGAGCCAACATTCAAAGCTTTTTTTTTTTTTTCTTGGTTGGGGGGTAGGGGACGGAGTATCACTCTGTCATCCACGCTAGAGTGCAGTGGCATGATCTCAGCTCACTGCAACCTCCACCTCCCGGGTTCAACCAATTCTCCTGCCTCAGCGTTCCAAGTAGATGGGATTTCAGGTGCCCACCACCACGCCGGGCTAATTTTTGTATTTTTAGTAGAGACGAGGTTTCACCATATTGACCAGGCTGGTCTTGAACTCCTGACCTCATGATCCGCCCACCTCGGCCTCCCAAAGTGCTGGGATTACAGGTGTAAGCCACCACACCCAGCTATTCAAAGTATTTTTAACCAATGTAGTTTATGTCTGTTTGATTATCCAAAATCAACACAGTTATTCCCTTACACAAAAAGATAGTGTAATTGGAAGGGATAATGTTTTATTAGGATACTTACCCTAATTATTATTAGGACACTTATCCCTAATTATTTTGGAATTTTTACTTTATTATGCAGAAACTTTAAAATTTGGAGAAACTGCTAAAGCACAACTAAGGAGACTAAGAGAAATAGAAAGCTACTAAAATGAATCAGCTAGATATTACTGATGCCACAGGATATTAATGTAAATAAAAATCCAGTTGATCTGCACTGAGGTCTTAATTCCAAGCTATGCTATGAAATTCTAAGAGTTACTCAAGTACAGGGGACAAACAGAAGAGGAGACATATGTATACTCTCAATGTGTTTATATGCCTTTGTGAGACATCGAGTCATCACTGTGAAGTAGCTAGAATAACAGATATGAATGCATAAATATGGGAGGGAGGTAGCAAAGGGGAAAGTTTTTGAGAAGGGTGGGTGGTGATGAAGAAAGGCTGAAGTGTTGCCTTGTAAAATGGAGACATATTCTCGGGAAGCTAATATTCTAATAAAGCAGAAAAAAAGAGCAGCAATCTAAAGGTCCCATCCTTGCCTTGTTAGGAAAGCTATCCCCATATCAGCTAAGAACACACCAGGCAACCAGTTTCCACTCAATGCAATCTGAAAATCAGCATTATGTTGATCTTGGTACTTCTGCCCAATAGAGTAGTTTGGTTAGCTACTGGTTCCTTTTCCTAACAGAAACTATTAGTGAACCCAATGGTACTAATTGAGTCTAGTAAAGTGCTGAGCATTATCAGCCATTAGCTGAAGTTCTACCCTAAATACAATCCAAATACAATGGCAGGGTGACCTGCTGGCTGGTAGCAGTAGCAACAGCAATGAAGGAAGCAAGGGCTTATGGTAGACCTCCTTTGTGGCCAGTGTTGTAGCT